>NC_000010.11:18646363-18797878 GCF_000001405.40 Homo sapiens
AGAATCGGGTACTGCTTTACCATTGGTTTCCTATCTAGTGACTCTGACCGAAGCTTCCCTGTCCAACGTTAACCTTCAAAGAAAGGGACCCAAAGTCCAGAGTGACTGATCCTAGCCCATGGGATCTTGTATATCCAGACTAGGATGCTAAAATATCCAGGTTCTGGAAATCATTTGTTGTGGAAAAAAAAAATAATAAAGCCAGGCACAAGGCCTCACGCCTGTAATCCCAGCAGTTTGGGAGGCCAAGGTGGGCAGATCACAGGGTCAGGAGTTCGAGACCAGCCTAGCCAATATGGTGAAACCCCATCTCTACTAAAAATACAAAAATGTAGCAGGCGTCTGTAGTCCCAGCTACTTGGGAGGTTGAGGCAGGAGAATCGCTTGAACACAGGAAGCAGAGGTTGCAGTGAGCCAAGATCGTGCCACCGCACTGCAGCCTGGGCGACAGAGTGAGACTCCCTCTCAAAACAAAACAAAAAAAATCTGGATCTGAGTTATGGATACTTCCAGTGGGCCTCAGAACAGTTTCCTTTTTATTAGCTGAAAACATACACATGGTTATGGAAAAGTAATGATTTTAGTTGCTTAGGGCAACTACTTATGTTTTATACCTGTCATTACTCTCAATAAGATTATCACTATCAATAAAAATCAGATTAATTTTTAAAAAATCTTATTTAATTATTATACTAAGGTTTGGTCTCATACACTGAGATGCCATAGCTGGTTCTTCTAATAACATGGTTGTCTATTCACAACTTGGTACTTATAGTTGTTCTTAAATAGAGTATGACAAAGAGTCCATAAATGTAATAGAGAGATTTTTTAAAAGGGGATAAGTGACTCAGTGATAATTTTCTGAAATTTTCTAAATAACTAAATACAGCTTGTGATTGACAAATGGAAACCCTTTAATCATGGTTGCCTCTCGCTTTTAACTCAGACACAAATAAGGCAGAAATGAGTCTGCTGACACCCACGTTACATGTTACCAGTCAGTGAATAACTACAGTATACAATTTATGTGGTACCTCTCAGCATCTATTCTTCTACATCCTACATTGCTTTTGAGGTAAATTTCAGTGTACAGTGTATGAAACACCTAAGGCAAAGCTTTCAAAAGCAAAAGAGTATATACAAGATAACTCAAAAAAATATAAACAAGATAACTCATACTTTCTGCTTAGAAGTCATAAATGCCATTTTATAATATTGTTTTCATCTGTAAGAGGAATATTTTGCCAAAACTATTTTATTGGTTGGGTAAAAAAAGTCTCATGCTGTTTTACATTGAAAATAGATTCAGATTCATCATCTTAATTTCCTGGTTTTATAAAACATAAGGCGCTCAACACCTTGTTTTTTTTTTTTTTTTTTTTTTTTTTTGAGACAGAGTCTCATTCCATCGCCCAGGCTGGAGTGCAGTCATGCAATTTCGGCTCACTGCAACCTCCACCTCCCGGGTTCAAGGGATTACTCGTGCCTCAGCCTCCCAAGTAGCTGAGATCACAGGCATGTGCCATCATGCCCGAATAATTTTTTTATATGTTTTAGTAGAGACAGGGTTTCGCCATACTGGCCAGGCTGGTCCCAAAGTCCTGGCCTCATGTGATCCACCTGCTTCAGCCTCCCAAAATGCTGCGATTACAGGCATGAGCCACCACGCCTGGCCCAACATCTATTTTTTTATGTCAATTAACAATATAATCTCACAGGTACTTAGTATGTACCTCCTTACCCCTGGGCTTATTATCTCAGCTATACCATCTGTCCTCCTGGTCATTATATGCTACTTATCACAAAGCCACAGGTTTTTAAGGTTAGACTGGACTTCTTCACATGTATTTTAATGATGAAGCTACTAAGGCCCAGTTTAATGCGGCCCAGAGGGGTTTAATGAGCTATTTTAGTCACCAAAAATGAATAAATTTAGAATCAGAAGTACTAGGTTCAAGTTCTAGCATTACCACCTAGGATAACTTTGAAGAATTTACCATTCATGGTCCTCAATCTCCTTATCTGTAAAACTGGAAGTGTATTATATCATTCATAGGATTTTAATGGAAAACATGGTAGATTGCAAAAATGTAATTATGTACAAATGACAGAAAATTTCCACAAACCTTCTGAAGTTCATCAAGTAACAGATTTTTCACATGTTGTACTGAGGCTAAATGTGTATTCACTCTGACAGTTGTAAATGATGGAGGATGTGACAGGTGCTTTAACAAAGTTTCAAACTTCCTTTCTGCTTCTTGTTTACCTAAAGCAGTCACAATCTAAAAAGAAGTTCATGTTTAAATTTCCTGAGAATTAAAAACAGTCAGCAGAGCATCCTTATATATTAATTCCATCTAATGAAACATCGCTTAGCAATTGTTCAGCTCCATTCTATTTTGCTGTATTGTTTATATGTTAATAGCAACTAAGGAAATAGTAATACTTCACGGGGTTCTTGGGCTTCAACATGGTAATAAACACCTAAGAAAATGCCTGAAATAAAGGGCTTAGAAAAACATTGCCTAAACTTCAAAGCATTATGAACATTTTCCAAATATTAGTATCTGCTACATTTATTCACATAAATTCAGGAATTCAGTCTATTTATAATGCATTACCATTACAGCATCTCTGTAGAGCTAGCATTATATCCAAGTTAGTTGGACGTTAGCTAATTAGCTAACATCATATCCAAGAGCAAACTGGCTGGTATCCTTTTAAAATACCAATATTTAAAAAATAAGTAATATTGATATAGTCACTGTCATATAAAGATTCCCCTAGGACATCAGCTTTTTAATATGGTGTTATTAAATGTAACAAATATATATTATCCAAAAAAGATGAGTAGCAAAGACACCTGTCAAATATGACGGTATAAAGACTCAACAATATTCCCTTGTAATTAACCGAAGCTTTTCAAGAAACGTATTTCTTTGTCTTCCTATTTGACTAAACCCTGCTTTACAGAATCTTCACAAACCACTTGTTAGCCTACTCATGCACCAGCCTTAAAAGTATTCATACTTTCTCAAGGTTTAGTCTTATCAAAACTGAACATTCAGCCTGGGCAACATGGTGAAACCCCATCACTACAAACAATACAAATATTATTAGCCAGAGTGGTGGCCCCTGTCTGAGGTCCCAGCTACTCGGGAGGCTGAGGTGAGAGGATCACTTGAGTCCCAGAGGTCGAAGCAGCAGTGAGCTGTGATCATGTCACTGCACTCCAACATGGGCAACAGAGGGAGACCCTGTCTCAAAAAAAAAAAAAAAAGGCATAAAACTTAATATTCCTTTCCCTTCAGTACTTTTCACAAAGGCATAGCTTTTCATTTTGTAAAACCATACCACTGATGAGACTCGAGGCAGAGGCAGTGTCAAAGAAAGACGTTTGGATCTTCTTTATAAAACGACGTTCTCCATTTTAAAATCTGCTGAAAAAATTGTGGTATGCCCCTACTTCTCCTAATATGTGCCTTATATTTTAAGTCCCTTGAAATCAACAGAATATATTTTCTCTTTCCATACAGTCTAGTACCTCAAGCTAATCTTTGGAAATGAAACGTAGAAATCAAATCTAAAAGGCATGGCTTCAATAACATATTCAAAAATGAGTAACATTTAAGTGGTGTTACTCTAACTAAGAAAACTAAAGATTTCAAAAAAAACAAAGTTGCTTAGAGGCAACATGGTAAAGTGGTAGAGAGGACAGGCTTTGCAATAAAAGACAATCAACATTTACTGAGGACTTCTGTGGCAGGCACTGCCAATTGCAAACAAAATTAACATTTTTTGAAGACTTACATGCCAAAACAATGCAAGTTGTTTTCATTTACGTTTAATATCCTAAAACAACCTGGTAAAATATTTTTAACTTGACTAAAAAATTAAAGATTTGAAAAAAAACAAAGTTGCTTAGAGGCAGCATGGTAAAATGGAATAGACAACAGGCTTTGCAATCAAAGATAATCAACATTTACTGAGGACTTTAGCAAATAAAATTAACATTTTTTGAGGACTTACATGCCAAAACAATGCTAGTTGTATTCACTTACGTTTAATATCCTAAAACAACCTGGCAAGATATTTTTAACCATTCTCAATTTTTCACAGAAGAGAAAAATCTAGGTTAAGCCACGTAATTTACAAAGCACTAGAATGCAAATCATGTGCCTGAGATTCAAAAGCTGTACCTTTGTTCATTACACCTGAACTCTTTCCCTCCAGATTTCAATAGTTACTTGATAGCTGTGTCAACTTGGATCAGTTACACAATTCCTTGAGCAGTTTTCTGCTCAAGTCTATTAAAAGAGGAAAAACCTCTAAGAAAAAAAAGATTGTGAAGATTAAAGATGCAAATCTCCTAGCACAACTGCTGGCATTTAAGAGGCACTCAACAAATTACAGAAACCTTTTCACCTGAGTGCCAGAGCCAGCGCTCTTTTAAAATTCGATTCGAGTTCTTGAAGACAGGGACCTTTTCTTGTTCATCCTTGTAACCCTTTGTGCCATGCCTGACAGGCACATGCCTTTTTTCCCTTCTTTTCCACTCCTAAATGTTAAAACATATACCTTATTCACTTCGTATCTCAGTAAGCTTTAATACCTGTAGAAACATATTGGTATTTTTACACTTGATAGACAAGTAGTAAGGAACGACGGCTGTCAAGATTTCCCTTTATACTTATTTCTATTTCTCTCGAGTGTGCGAATATTTGAGTTTTTGCAAAATATCAACTAACATCTTTACTTGACCTACCTCCTTATTCATAAAGCCTTCCTTAAGATAGTTTTCAACCTCAGGTCTCAAAGATATCTTAGGGAAAATAGACATTTTTCCTGTTGTTTAGTTCTCCACCAAGAGAAATGCTGGAAAACGGTGTTTTGTTTTTTTTTTTCTTTCCGAATTAATAGTGACGAGTGTCTTGACACCAGATGCTGAGGAAAATCTTGCCGATCACGCTGAGTTAATTTCGGAAATGCAGAGGTACACGCTTTCTCAAGCCTAGCCGATTAGAAGGGGCTGCCGGGCTTCCACCACACCTCATCGAGGCAATGTTTTCTGGTAGAGATGCTCATGGAAATCACTGAGCCAATGCCACTCACGTTGCAAAGAACCAAAAAAAGAAAAAAATGCTTAGTAACTGAATCCGTGGTGAAACGGACGCAGATCAGTAAGCCAGGCTGACAGCAGCTCGGTCCCTTTATCTTTTCTATCAATTTCCAAACACGCGCCCCCTATTTCTCGGCGGAAAGTCGCTTCCGGCTTACGTCACGTCCGGCGCCTGCGGCCCACCCCTCCCTTTCCGGTCCCCCAATCCACAGCCGCAAGTTTCCCCAACACTGCGTTACGCTACGCCACGCCCCCGGAGGTTCCTAACCCTGCGTGAGGCTCTTTCACCTGCCTCAGGTTAAGTAGGCAGACCCCGCGGGCGGGATGGTCAAAGATATTTAGTTCCCGGTACCGGAGGGCTAGGTGCCAGGGGCAATGGGGAAACAGCCAAATGGCGTGGGTTGAGTGGAAGATGTTGCTGGACTGAAAAAAGGCACAGCCCAGTTGCTGTCCTGCCAGATGTCCTCCAGTTAGAGGATGAGGCCAGAATTTGGGCGCATCAGCCACCGTTTGATTTCATGACATGATTTTACCTCTCTCAGGCATACAGATCTGACTTCAGTTGTGAAGTTCATAGGGTTCATATTTTTGAAAGTTGGGCTAATGGTCTGTTAATATCCAATGCTCAGGTAAAACTTAAAACCCACAGACAGTGTTTACAGTTAGTTATAAGGCTAACTGCTACTTGTATCATAGTTGACATATTCTTTAGAGTTTGGAAGACCCTCGCCATTATTTTTTTTTCTTTTTTTTCATCATAAGCAGACAAGGATATAGATTCAAAGAACGAGGATATCTAACCAAACTCACTGAGTCATTTTATAACTGTACAGGAAAGTCAAAATAATTCTATCACCTTGACATATGTTTTTTGCAGCACACCATGGTAATTTACACATAAGTATAGGAAAGGGTTTTTTATTGTTTTTTTCTCTTTAATTTTCACACCGAATTATACACACAGACACACACACATAGAACAGGTACTTTCCATGACACACCAACTCTTTACCAGAAAGAGTAGAAAATAATGAATGACCATTATACCACACAACAACCTGCAAGTTGTTTATCATTTTCTCTGCTCTTTTTTTTTTTTTTTTTTTGAGTCTCTGTCGCCCAGACTGGAGTGGAATGGTGGGATCTCGACTCACTGCAACCTCCACCTCCTGGTTCAAGAGATTCTCCTGCCTTGGCCTCCCGAGTAGCTAAAATTACAGGCATGTGCCACCAGGCCCAGCTAATCTTTGTAATTTTAATAGAGACGGGGTTTCACCATGCTGGCCAGGCTGGTCTCAAACTCCTGACTTCAACTGATCTGACTCTCTAGCCTCCCAAAGTGCTGGGATTACAGGCGTGAGCCACCACGCCCAGCCCATTTTCTCTGTTTTAAAGAGTAAATCAAGGTTCCTAGGGTTGAAACAACTCTCCATGTTCTCACAAATAAAAAGCCAGGATAAAGACTAGTAATTTGGCTTCTAGAGCCAATACCTTGTCCTTGACCATAGCATATTTCTTCAATAAATCCATGAGATTCTTTCATGGCTAAAACATCTGAAAGTGATAAATGTCTAAATCAGACATTTCCAAAGGAATTTCTGTAGCCTGAATTTCATGGTGACCATAGCACCACTGATGGCTAGAATCTGTATTTTAGCGATAAAGGAGGAGAAACAAGTTGAACTACATTTTAAACTCCACAAGGATAGAGACTTTATCACACCACTATGTACCCAAGCCTAATCCATAATGGGCACTCAAATACTTACTGAATGACTAAATGAAAAGATGGATGAACATCTCTATAAACTATGGAAAGAAAATGCTGATAAAGCATTTGCCAGAAATTACTTCACTAGTGCCACACACGGACAGAATTGAGGACATTTAGACTTTTTTGTTTGTTTGAGATGGAGTCTCATTCTGTCGCTCAGGCTGGAGTGCAGTGGTGCTATCTCAGCTCACTGCAACCTCTGCCTCCCAGGTTCAAGTGATTCTCCTGCCTCAGCCTCCCCAGTAGCTGGGATCATAGGTGCCCACCACCACGCCCGGCTAATTTTTGTATTTTTAGTAGAGATGGGGTTTCACCATGTTGCTCAGGCTGGTCTCGAACTCCTCAGCTCAAAGTGATCCACCCACTTCAGCCTCCCAAAGTGCTGGGATTACAGGCGTGAGCCACCACACCCAGCCATTTAGACTATTCTTGACTAGATGTTATAGTAATGACAGTTAATGTTGACGAAGATATCTCTTGGGATTCTAAGGCTGGATCCAAGAAAAGCATATTACAAAACAAGAGGTTGGCATAGTAGATATGTGCTATGTAAGCAAAGGAAAACTACTCTATGAATACACCCATATAAGATTTATTTAGGCTACAAGTTCTTCATATGGGCGACATGGCTCCCCAGGGTGTGGGGAACTCAGGGAGGACTGAAACAATTTTTGATACAATCTCACTCTTTTTAGTTTGTGGAACTCCAAAGCTTAACCTTACCAAAACAATCACTCCTGAGCATTTAATTTCATGGTAAGGGTATGGGAGAATTAGCAGGAAAAAATGTCTAGAAAGGCTCTTTAGGGGGATGATAATTTTAAAAGGTTGATAAAACACTGATTTAGGTGATCACTGCCCTCGAGTCTCACTCTGTCGCCCAGGCTGGAGTGCAATGGCATGATCTCGGCTCACTGCAACCTCCGCTTCCTGGGTTCAAGCGATTCTCCTGCCTCAGCCTCCTGAGTAGCTGGTATTACAGGTGCCTGCCACCATGCCCAGCTAGACAGTTAACTAATTTCTATCTAGTCCTCCCTTTTTCTGTTCTTCCAGGTTGCCTTTTTATTTCTTCTATGACAGACATGCCTCTTTTACTTGCCAAAATGTTATTTCAGACTGATCTTGGAAGAAAGGTCTTAATTCTGCCTCTGGCTATCTCCATTCAAGGGAACTTCTTTCCTTCTTAATTTCAAACCTGAATGGTTCTATGAAAATAACATGACACCTATAGTCACCCATTCACCCATAAATCCAATCCTGTATCAGTACAGCAGCTCCAGTCTAAGCTCAAATTTATTTGGCATTTGAGACACAATAAATTAGGGACTATAGTATCTGGAAAGTGGCCTGGCGCAGTGGCTCATGCCTGTAATCCCAACACTTTGGGAGGCTGAGGCGGGTGGATCACCAAGTCAGGAGTCCAAGACCAGCCTGATCAATATGTAAAACCCCATCTGTACTAAAAATGCAAAAATTAGCCTGGCGTGATGGCACGTGCCTGTAGTCCCAGCTACTTGGGAGGGTGAGGCAGGAGAAACGCTTGAACCAGGGAGGCAGAGGTTGCAGTGAGCCAAGATTGTGGCACTGCACTCCAGCCTGGGCAAGACTCTGTCTCAAAAAATAAAAAAATAAATAAAATTAAAAAGTCTGGAAAGTAAAGGGAAGAATGAATACAATTTAGTTAAGAATACTGCCAGGATTAAACAAACAAAAAATCAATCTTGGATTGGTTCATCTTTATTTCTAGAAATAATACTATATACCTTACCGAGAACTTCCCATTTTTCTTGCCACGCTTATGGAACATTGGAAATTAGCACTATAATTTGCTTTGGGGAACACTTCTCTGAAAATCCAGCAGTCCAACTGTTGCCAGACTTAAATCCCTCGCTGCTTTATCTTGCTCGTATCCTTCCCACCTAAGAAAGGAACAAACAACATAGATTCTTACAAAGAAAATGGTATTAACATATGACTGAAGTTTAGCAGGGTTCCTGGGCAATCTATATCTTTGACACCTCTGGTGTCAAGCTACTAGGGTGCAGATTCCAGTTCTTGCAACCTCAGTCAAGTATTAAAGTTCTTTTCACTTCAGTTTCTTCATCTGTGAAATACAGATAATAGCTCCTGCTTCACAATTTTACTATAAACCAAACAAATTAGGTAGAGTGCTTTAAATGGTACTAGAACAAAGTCCTCTGTAAATGTTACATAGTATTAATATACATGTACTGAAGGAATGGCTATAGGATAGTGAAACGTCATTTGTGAGGAAAGAACTAAAGTGACCTAAATTCTGACATGTCAAGAGAGTCAACTTTTCTATCTAAGGGAGGAGTGAAGATTTCAGGTGTTTAGGAAATGTAAGAGGCTCCACCCGAAGGAATGGGACTGTAGTAAAGAGGGGCAAAGCTGTTTCCAGAGAAGACAGGACCAGAAGCTTCAAGAAATTGAGTCAGCTTCAAAAGCCAAAAACCTACTATAAATGGGTAATTTATAAGCCACCATGACTGCCACACTGAGCAGCCGAGCCCCTAAAGGACTACATGTGTTGATGATACAAGCTTTGAAGTACCTGTTGGAAGGAGCATTTATCAAATGTAGGAAGGCTGGTGACATTGAGCCCTAAACTACAGAAGAGATGTCAATTCTCATTGATTGAATTATGACCAAAGTCATAGACCTACGGCTAGTTTGATCTAGTAGATATTTTGAAACTCAGGATATTATGGCTTCTCTTTGTAAACATAAAGCAACTTTGTCAGAAATTTATCAACATTTTATCAATACACTTTTCGTAATGATAGGAGCGAGACGTGAGTTTCTTTTATATTACTTACAGCATCAAAAATTGTTGGTCTCTCAATAGATATTTACAGAAGGCGATCATATTGATTTCAGACCATATGGCAGGTAGAATTTTCTGACGGGAAATCTATCAGTCACACCTAATCTGGAGACTGATCAACTAAACTAAAATCACAATGGGCATTACCTTAAAGGTTGAGGAAAGTTAAAAAATGGTGGCTTCCAGCACTTTGGGAGGCCAAGGCAGGTGGATCACGAGGTCAGGAGTTCAAGACCAGCCTGACCAACATGGTGAAACCCCATCTCTACTAAAAATACAAAAATTAACTGGGCATGGTGGTGCATGCCTGTAATCCCAGCTACTCAAGAGACTGAGGCAGGAGAACTGCTTGAACCCGGGAGGCAGAGGTTGCAGTGAGCTGAGATCACACAACTGCACTCCAGCCTAGGTGACAGAGTGAGACTCCGTTTAAAAAAAGCAATGGACAAATTGATCAGAGTTGTATAAGTAATAAATTGAATTCAATTACAGCTACAGCTAGCTCTTCCAAGTATTATCTGAAGTTAGTTTGTAATAGTTCCTTTTAAAAACATCTTATAGTTTTATTTTTTGAATTCCCGAGTTGTTTGACATTTTTCTTCCTTGAACTCTTTAAAATATTTTGTTGAACTGGATAGAGATTTTACTGGGATTCCAATTTAATTAAAGGAAGTTATTTCCAATGAACACTTAAGAAAATTAGTTACAATCCTTTTTTTTTTTTTTTTTTTTTTTTTTGGTTCAGACAGGGTCTCACTGTCACCCAGGCTGGAGTCCAGATGCACGATCTTAGCCCACTGCAGTCTTGACCTCCTTGGCTCAAATGAGCCTCTTGCCTCAGCCACCTCATTAGTCGGGACTACACATGTGCACCACCATGTCCAGCTAACTTTTGTATTTTTTTGGAGAGACAGGATTTCTCCATGTTGTCTGGGTTGATCTAAAATTCCTGGGCTCAAGTAATCCACCTGCCTTGGCCTCCCAAACTGCTAGCATCACAGGCATGAGCCACCGTGCCTCTCCTAATGTAATTGAAAGTATTTTTTCTAACAGATCGATAGGTACATCAGCATGATATCTGTTTAGATAATACACAACTATATTCTGTTAATCAATCATATTACTTTTGATAATTGTGGCTATTTTTCTTTCCCTCCAGTTTGTAAAAATTTTAGATTTCCAAATCAGCAAACAAAACTTTTAAATATGAAAAAATATTTTTAAAATATTAGAACAGTCTCATTGTCAGGTAAATTGTTCATAAGAAAGGTGTTAAAAGTAAGTTAAAAGTAAATTTTAACGAACTGAAAACTTCAACACTAAAGTTTTCTGAAATTTCAAAGAAACAAAACCAATAAAAATATCAAGAGCCATGTTCAAATAAATACATTCATTCCACTTAGTTAAAAGTAGAAGTATAATTCAAACTTACTGTCTCTAAAATATCATAAAAATGTTTAAGAAATCTATAGTTTTTTTTGCTTCAAATCTCTGCATTTTCTTTATTTTATTTTTATTTTTATTTTTTTAGACGGAGTCTCACTCTGTCGCCAGGCTGAAGTGCCCTGGTGTGATCTCTGCTCCCTGCAACCTCTGCCTCCCAGGTTCAAGCAATTCTCCTGCCTCAGCCTCCTGAGTAGCTAGGATTACAGGCGCGTGCCACCACACCCGGCTAATTTTTGTATTTTTAGTAGAGACAGGGTTTCACCATGTTGGCCAGGATGGTCTCCATCTCTTGACTTCGTGATCCACCCGCCTCAGCCTCCCAAAGTGCTGGGATTACAAGCATGAGCCCCAGCGCCCAGCCAAATGTCTGCATCTTCATACAAAAATGCTTTGTTCTTTTCAGAAATGGTTTCTTAGAAATCCGAAAGCCAGAAAAAAAAAAAAAAAGCAGAATGTGGTTTACATCCATGTCTAACAATTGAAGAAGCTGTTACGGAATCTAAAGTTTGTTTTGTGATAATGAAGCTAGGACTAAAAATGTCCTTTTAAGCCATTACTTACACAAACACAAAATTATTCACATTTATGGTCCAACTGATAGTCATGAAAGTTAAGTTTGCATAGGGTCAGTACATTCTTTTTCCTCTACATAGGAGGTTGAAACTTGCCTTTAATGTTGTAACGTTGGAGCATATTATCCTGCATCTAAGTCTTAAAGGGTCTTTAAACCATAGCACTGGGAGGACGTAAGTCATACATTCTCCTTGTACAGGTTAACTCAAGAGTTTGGCATGTTAAAAGGCCACGTTGCCAAGGTTAAAATCCAACCATCTGACTGAAGTCAGAGTCTAAAAAAATTTTAAGCTTGCTCCTCCGTCAACTGGTTTCAAGGACATTCAGTTTCGTTTCATGCCAGGCTGTGAAGCTTTTCTTTTCAATGCTAGAACCTAACCATGGAAAGTGGAATTGAAAACAATTACACAGCGAATTGGCTTATGCGTGGACTTCGATCTGGGATCCACGAACATACCTAATGCTTGGCAAAATGGAGAGGGGTGCTATGTGTTATTATTATGTGTTATTATTAATCACATAACTGAACTCTGTGGCTCCAGGCCTTCCATGGCTCGTCTCCCAATCAATTCTTTTCAGAACTAAGAATCACGACAGGGGCCGGGCGCGGTGGCTGAGCCTGCAATCCCACCACTTTGGGAAGTCGAGGCAGGAAGATCGCTTGAGCCCAGGAAATTGAGTCCCCCTGGGCAACACAGCCCGACCTCGTCTGCAATCGATCAATCAATCAATGAGTACATAAATGCATAAGCCAATGAATGAATACGTGAATGAATAGATTAATAAATGAATGAAGAAGAATCACGGCAGAACTCCTAACCCCTAGCACGCCTGCCTAGGGGAACAGGAATAAGTCAGGAAAGAAACACTCTTCACTTCTGTGAGTTTTCTAAGAGCAGCAAACGGCGGCTGCTCACTTAGAGAACCTATGGTCTTTCCTGGTTTTAGAGGTCAGGGAAGCAGCTGCTAGCAGCAGAGACTCAAATCAAAGGGGAGTCCCACAAACGTTTTGAAGGCTGACATCAGAAGGAGCACGCACCAAGGGAAATTTCCCACCCCCCCGCGATACCGCAAATTCCCAGCCGCTGGCCGTTTGGGACTCTCCTACCGGAAGTGAAACCGAAGAAAACGCCACGTCGAAGGCGTGGGTTGCCGTAAGTGCGCCGTCGTCACGCGCCTAGCTTCCGGCGATGGGTGGTCCTGGGATCCGGAGGGGAGGCGGGGTGGAGGCGGGGCTTGGGGCTGTGGAGAGGCTGTGGTAGGTAGGTGGGTACAGACCGAGGGGACTACGGGTCGGCGTTGGGCTCAGTGGGCTCGAAACAAAGGGCTGTCCGGTGGGGATTCGTCGCGGCGCCTTCTGAGTGGTCGGGTCGAGGCTTCTCGGCCTAGCAGTGCCCTCGCTGCGCGATCTCAGGCGGGTTCTCCTCGGCTCCGCGCAGCCCGCGCCGCGGTGGGGGACCCGGCGCAGCGGCACCTGCTGCCGAGGGACCCCGCGGCCCGCCCCGGTGCTCGTGATGGGGCTGATCTTCGCCAAACTGTGGAGCCTCTTCTGTAACCAAGGTGAGAAGAATGGAGCTGCGCGGCGGCTCGAATCCGAGGCAGAGGGTCCCGCCGCCGATGGGGACACCGGAGACAGGGGACAGAGCGTTCGGAGACGCGGAGGAGGAAGGGACTTAGGCCAGGGGGCGGGCAGAAACTCAGTGTTTTAGACCTGGAGGACGTACAGGAGAGACCTGACGTGTGGGAGAAATAGGGAGGCAGAAGAGAAGGTATTTGGCGTCCCAGAATCCAAACTGAGAATGTTTGGATATTGGCGAAGTAAAGCGGGATACAGCTAATGATGCCAGGAGGCGTATGGAGGGCCTTTCTCGTCTTTATTGAAGCGTGCTTGTGTCTATGTGTATCCCCAGGATAAGTGTCCGCCCAGAAACCTAGAACTTTTTTTTTTTTGAGTAATGTAGGTGCTTTGTTTTCCCGCCCTGCAGTTTGAGCCGTAAGCCAGTGCACTTTCACTCTGATTTCGCCTCCTTTCCTCTAGGACTTGGGAATGAGTTGTCCTATTCAGATGCACGAGTTTTCCAGCATCTTCATTGTAAACTTTTTTTTTTAAAGCATTTAGTTCAGAAACTAAATGCTTTTCGGTTTTGTGTAAGACGTTACGTGTCCGTAATTAGTCTGTAACAGGTAATGAGACACCTGGAAGTGGCAGGTCCAAAGGGCCGAGAAGTTGCAAAACCTGTTCTGAATCAGAATGAGATGTGATGTCTTCTGAAGAGAGAAAACACCCAGACCAAAAAAGGGGCCGACGATAAGTTAAAGTTTGAGGCGTCCTTTGAACAGAATGGTTTCTTAGTAATTGAAACCAGTTTTGAAAATCAACTCGTTTCATTTTACATTTAAGAGCCGGGCATCGTTAATAAGCCAGTTTTATTTCCTTTTATGTTGGTACCAATTTGTTACTGCTAATGTAGGTATCTAATCTTTTTCTGGATTTAAGAAGTTGTGGAGGTAATGGAATGGCTTTAGTTGACTTGTTCTGTAGATTGATAAGAACACTAAAGCAGTCTTTTTCAAGGTTATAAATATAGATACAGGCACACACATGTGTATATATATGTATATGCCTGTATCCAGTAACCACAGATAATATTACTTATCAAATGATTTCAAAGTGAGCAGAGCTTCACACTTTGTGGGTATTATCCATACATTTAAAATATTATTTTTATTTATTTATTTTTTGAGGCAGAGTCTTTCTCTGTCGCCCAGGCTTCAGTGCAGTGGCGCAATCTCAGCTCACTGCAACCTCTGCATCCTGGGTTCAAGCGATTCTTGTTCCTCAGCCTCCCGAGTAACTGGTATTTACAGGCACCCGCCACCACGCCCGGCCTATTTTTGTATCTTTAGTAGAGACAGGGTTTCGCCATGTTGGGCAGGCTGGTCTCGACCTTCTGACTTCAGGTGATCTACCCACCTCGGCCTCCCAAAGTGCTGGAATTACAGGTGTGAGCCACCGCGCCCAGCGGTAAAACAGCATTTTAAGACATGCTTAAAGGTATAAAGATTAATACAAAAATCACCAGTTTTCTCTTTCCCCTGAGCTGGAGAATCGAAACGTTACCGAAGTAGTTGGTTTTCCCTTTATATCCTTTCCCGTTTTCCTTTCTCCCTTTTCTGTTACATGGCTGCTGTCTTGTCTTTTTTCGTTGGAGGTGTCCTTACTCAGACTAGAGGTAATAAAAGATGTAAGGGGAAAATGTAGATGGTGATGAAAGACATCCAGTGGCTACTTTTATACTCGCATAATTGTTCAGGCCTCCTGAATCTCCATTTCTACTTAGAATTTTTCTCTTCCTCTAACTTTCCTGTTGGAAAATTTAGAACCAGTGATTATTCTGTTATTTTATTCTTATTCATTCATACAGCCATAGGCCAGTCTTCAGAGTTTAGCATAGGAGATACAAAATTAAAGAATAAAGATACCTTACTTCTTGGCAAAGTATTCAAACATCAATAAACGAGACAAACATGAAAAAAAATGCAGTGTGGTAAATTATTTAACAGATATGTGTAAAAATATAACGTTGGCTGCAGCACAAGGTATACTTGGACGTAATGTAATGATGAGTAGGAATTTGGGTGGCATGCTAGACAGACCGAATAGAAGGGACGTGTTATTCTAGGCAGAAGAGCTAATATGCAAAAGGGAGAGGAATGAGCTAGTTTGGTACTTTTAGGGAAGCTGAAAATAGTTGAGCTTGGCTGTGTGTTAGTTTGCTTGCGAGGAGTGAAGAGGAGATGAGATTGGAAAGACAACCAGGAGAACCTTATCACAGAGGGCCTCCAGTGTTGACTAAGACATTAAACTCTCTAGAGCAAGGAATGGGACTCACTGAAGGGTTTAATCCACAGATGTATCTTAGCCTATATTTTTGTTTTCTGCATCAACAAAATTAACTACCAATCTCAGCATTTTCCATTTTTGTAACTATATTTATCTATTCCAGTGGAATTAGATATATTAGAATAACAGGCCCAAAGCGCCACCTCACACCAACTAAATTAGATTGGGGTGAAGAGGCCTGGGCATCACTGCCAAGGTAAATCGAATGTGCAGCCAGTGTTAAGAACTACTGATCTTACTTTATGTGCTCCTTTCCCGTGTCTTTCTTCCAGTATTTCCACATTCTCATCCTTTTTTTTCCTGTAGCATTTTAGAGTCTCATGCGTCTTATAAATTAGATACCTTTCTGTGAATAAGTATACTAAAGCGTGTGTTGTCTAAGTAAAGCAATGTAAAAGTTAATTCCTGCAATTTTGTATTGTTTGAACTGGAAGCCTGTTTACTTCGACAGTTATTATTCAAGGAAATAATTTGGAATTCTGATTATCTCTGCAAACATTTTATATGTTAATGTAGTTCTGTGAAATACATATGTGTTATGTGTGTTTGATAGCTCACCTCTAAAGTTTTGCATTGTTTTTTAAATTTCTTTTGAACTTTTGTAGGCATAGTCTTTTTCTCTCAGTGTTATGATTGTGGAAACCTGTCATCAGTTATTTCTTTTTTTGTTGTTTGTTTGTTTTTTTTTTTTAATGAGATGGAGTCTCACTCTGTCACCCAGGCTGGAGTGCAGTGGTGCGATCTCGGTCCACTGCAACCTCCATCTCCTGGGTTCAAGCAATTCTCCTGCCTCAGCCTCCTGAGTAGTTGGGATTACAGGCGCACACCACCACTCCGGCTAATTTTTGTATTTTTAGTAGAGGTGGGGTTTCACCATGTTGGTCAGGCTGGTTTTGAACTCCTGACCTCAGGTAATCCGCCCGCCTTGGCCTCCCAAAGTGCTAGGATTACAGACGTGAACCACTATGCCTGGCCCAGTGATGTCTTTAAATTTTATTTATTATTGTTATATTTTCTGTCACCCAGGCTGGAGTGTAGTCCTGTGATCTCAGCTCACTGCCACCTTTGCCTCCCAAGTTCAAGCAATTCTCCTGCCCCACCCTCTGGAGTAGATGGGATTACAAGCACCTGCCACCATGCCTGGCTAATTTTCGTATTTGTAGTAGAGATGGATTTTACCATGTTGGCTAGGCTGGCCTCGAACTCCTGACCTCAGGTGATCTACTCGCCTCCCAAAGTGCTGGGATTACAGGCGTGAGCCACTGCACCTGGCCAGTTATTTCTAGTGTTACCCAGAATTAAGAACAAATGAAATACAGTTTTAATTGTAGTTCTTTTTCAGAACCATGTAACAGTAACATCTTAATTTCATAATTTAATCATTTCTTTCCAATCCATGAATTTCATGTTATCATTTTGAACACTGGTTGCCAATTGCGTATGATTATTGTCCTTTACTTCTGACTGCTCAGATCTCAGATCTTGTGGCTCACATTTCTCTCTTTAGCTTATTCTGCTCTTTTTTTTTTTTTTTTTTTTGAGATGGAGTCTCTCTCTGTCGCCCAGGCTGGAGTGCAGTGGCGTTATCTCGGCTCACTGCAAGCTCTGCCTCCCGGGTTCATGCCATTCTCCTGCCTCAGCCTCCCAAGTAGCTGGGACTACAGGTGTCTGCCACCACGCCCGGCTGATTTTCTGTATTTTTAGTAGAGACGGGGTTTCACCATGTTAGCTAGGATGGTCTCGATCTCCTGACCTTGTGATCCTCCCACCTCGGCCTCCCAAAGTGCTGGGATTACAGGTGTGAGCTACTGCGCCCGGCCCCAGCTTATTCTGCTCTTAACTCTGGACTGTAAGCAGGTTTCAAACACACTAAACTTAAACTTATCATCTATCTGCATCCTGTCTTCCAGACCATTCTTTGTTTTTGTTTTGTTTTGTTTTGTTTGAGACGGAGTGTTGCTCTGTCACCAGGCTGGAGTGCAGTGGTGCAATCTCAGCTCACTGCCACCTCTGCCTCCCAGGTTCAAGTGATTCTCCTGCCTCAGCCTCCCAAGTAACTAGGACTATAGGCACCTGCCACCATGCCCGGCTAAGTTTTGTATTTTTAGTAGAGACGGAGTTTCACCAAATTAGCCAGGTTGGTCTTGAACTCCTGACCTTGTGGTCTGCCCACCTCAGCCTACTGAAGTGCTGGGATTACAGGTGTGAGCCACCATGCCTGACCTGGCTAACTTTTTTCTTAAGAGATGGGATATTACTGTATTGCCCAGTTTGGTCTCAAACTCCTAGATTTAACTGATCACTTCTCCTTGGCCTCCCAAAGTGTTGGAATTACAGGTGTGAGTCATTGCACCTGGCCTAAAACATTCTGATTTACTGTAACTGATAGTAACAGTAGTGTCTTTTTTTTTTTTTTTTTTTTTTTTTTGAGATGGAGTCTCGCTCTGTTGCCCAGGCTGGAGCACAGTGACCCGATCTCGGCTCACCGCAAGCTCCGTCTTCCGGGTTCATGCCATTCTTCTGCTTCAACCTCCCAAGTAGCTGGGACTACAGGCACCCGCCACCATGCCCGGCTAATTTTTTTGTATTTTTTGTAGAGACAGGGTTTCACCGTGTTAGCCAGGATGGTCTTGATCTCCTGACCTCGTGATCCTCCCACCTCGGCCTCCCAAAGTGCTAAGATTACAGGCGTAAGGCACCACGCCTGGCCTAACAGTAGTGTCTTAACCTAACATTTCCTCATGTTAGGGACCTACCTTTCAAAATGGTGCATTATTGGTGAGTTTTACCATCACAGGCCTTCAGTATTATGTGAAGCATCATAGTGCAAAAGTGAAGCAAGGAGCAGGATTGTTTGCAAATGACCTGGGTCTTCATTTGAGTTGCTTCAAGAAGGAGCCATCTGGTACTGTCCTTCCATTCCTTTCTCCCAACAGGATTATCTGCCTTCAAGTTTTGCTTATCTTTAAACTAGTGGCTTCCTTCTCACCACTGCAGGCATGTTGTTTTCTGTAGATGCTTGGTAGGTGGAGCTTCTAGCTGTCACCAAAATTTAGAATGCTTAGTGCCAGGCAGTCTGTTTGTTCCTCACTGATAAAGGTTCTTGTACTTTAAGGGATAACAAACAGGGTAATACTTAAAGATTAGCTTCATTAGAGGACATGTAGCCAAGCTTGGTGGTGTGCACCTGTGGTCCCAGCTATTCAGGAGGTTCAGGTAGGAGGATCACTTGAGCCTGGGAGGTCGAGGCTGCAGTGATCATGCCCCTGCACTCCAGCCTGGGCAACAAAGCAAGACCCTGTCTCAAATAAATAAGGAGAATTATAGTGAGTTATACTAAGCAGGCAAGTTTTGTTTTGTTTTACAAAGCAGCTTCTACCATAGTGAAAATAGCCCTTCCAGAGGACCGTGTCTGTTTATCCTGCACTGTAATAGGCTGTATCTAGAGTGTGTAGGTCATTGGAAGACCTGCACATCTCAAGAACTTAAATTTTCTTGGTCCCTCTTTTTTTGGCTGATGAAGTTTAGAACTTCAGAGTAGGAATATGAGCTGATAGTTGATTATATGACCAGAATGTTGACATTCACCAGAGGTCATCAAGAAGAGCGGGATTCTGATATGAGATGTGCCCAATCGTTGCCTACAAATCAACTGTGTTGTGATTCTGTGGAAACTTCCCTACTTACCCTGTTGATGTTAACTTGTAACTTTTTAAGCATTCTTCTGCCTTGGAGAAGGGGATCTTTAGTATACTTGGCATAAGTGAAAATCTAGGAAAGATGGTATCTGGGTTGTTTTCTGTATTCAAAGGACATTGCAGAATATATACCACTTAACGGAATAATTAGATGAGCTTTAGCAACTACTTATTAAAAGAGGTGAATATTTAGTGCATGGCACCCAAAGGAGGAAAGAACTGAAGAGATTTTCATTGTACAAAGAGCAGAAACAGAATCTGCTCAAAAGAACTGTAGAAGCCGGTTGAAAAAATGTTAAACAATGAGTAATTGTGTAAAAACTTGAGAGTATATGTTTGTCTTTGTGACACATGAAACGTTTCAATTTTAAGCTTACATGGGATTTTTAAGTGAGAGGAAGAAACAGATCCTGGTATACATAGGTGGGGAAACTTACAGATATGAAAACATTTTGATAAAAAGCTAACTTGATTGGTACAGAGCTAAAAAGGTGTGTAAAACAGGCTTTTTAAAAAACTTACATTTAGGTTATAATTTTTGCCTAGATTAATATTTGGGTCTCCTCTCCCCTAGATGCAATATAAGTGACCAACTTTGCTGGTGTTTCCTGCCTACCCATCTCCCACATTCTTTTACATGAGAACTAGACAGAGAATCAATGATAATTGATTTTGTTACTTAACCTAGGTAGCCTTAACATCATAACATTTCTTTCTGCATTTTAAGTCTAGTGATAGATATTCAGTGAATGATTCTCATTAATGAGCTAACTAATAATCATTGTTGAAAGCATGTAATTGCAGTAATGCAGTAGTGTTAAATGTTTATGATTTGCTTTCTTTTTGTAGAACACAAAGTAATTATAGTGGGACTGGATAATGCAGGGAAAACCACCATTCTTTACCAATTGTAAGTATGGGTGTTTATTAAACAGTTTTCACTAGTTATTGAAACTAATGTGTTTACAATTAATAAGAGATGCATTATAATAATGACGGAAAAACTTAAATATATGTTTTTTGTTTTTTGTTTTTTTAATTTTACCGAACACAATCTATAGAAAAGTGAGTGAAATAAACATTTGCTAAACCCTTCACAAACACTTATTGTTTTCTGCCCTCGAAAGAAAGAAATTAATATTAAATAAATAAAGCGCATATTAGAAGTGCTGGGGTGAGGTGATAAAGTGGATTTCACTTAGTTCTTACCCCACTTGGGTTTATGTAAATAAATTGATAGCTCTAGGAAGCCATTGCTACCCTCCTGACTAATAGCTTTGGAATTTTTTAACATAGCCAGACTTGTCAAAAGAAATGTGATCACTCCTGAAAATATTGCTGTAGTAGCTTGCAAGAGGGAGAGTCTTGAGACTTTCAGAGAAATCTGTTAATACCTTAGGAAATTTTCACAGCTCATCATTCCACTTGTCAGAGTACCTTCCATTATCCTTTCAATGCCAATGAAATGATAGTATTAAGCAGTAGAAGTGGATCTACCAGGCACTTTAACAAAATAGTTCTACAGTTCTTTGCCCCATTGTGTGGCTCTTACCTCTTCCCACTCATGTTGCATTAGAAGACAGCCATCAGCTCACCAGAAGTACTTCATTAGCCAGTGATTAACGCATTTTTCAGCTACTTTGCTAAAAAGCTACTGACTTAAAGTTTGTTGTTTCAGAGTTGAACAACTACTTGTTTCTCTTGAAAACATTTTCATTCATTGGTGATTATGTGTTTAAATATGAATTAGCTTTTAAACATCACATATAAACATTTCAGAAACCTGTCATCTTTGTTGAAATAATTTTACACATGGCTTCAAAAATATACATAAAACCCAAGAGAATTGCAAGCCTCCTCCAACACAGTAGTGACATGTTACTGGCAAGGGCATATTTGTTGAATTAATTGATTAATGTAGCTTTACCAATGATTATGATAATACGAGGGGTATGAGCATCAGTATTCTAAATATATATATATATATATACACACACACACAAACACACACACACACATATTTGAGACAGAGTTTTGCTCTGTTTCTAAGGGTGGAGTGCAATGGCGTGATCTCCACCTCCCAGGTTCAGGCGGTTCTCCTGCCTCAGCTTCCAGAGTAGCTGGGATTACAAGCGCCCACCACCACGCCCTGCAAATTTTTGTATTTTTAGTAGAGACGAGGCTTCACCATGTTGGTCAGGATGGTCTCAAGTTCTTGACCTCAGGTGATCCACCCAAAGTGCTAGAATTATAGGTGTGAGCCACCACACCTGGCCTTCTAAATATATCTATAGTTAATTTAAATTTTTACTTGCCCATGGTCATCTTTTTAGGACTACTTTAGATTAATATGCCTGAATTAATTTTTGTGACTAAGTCTCAATTTAGACAGTCTTCAAAATTATAGATAGCCTGCTATCCAATATTTGCTATTTTGCAATCACCTAGAAACTTGCTTTTCAGGATGGCATGGGACATTGGGTCTTATCTAACTGATAACAGGGCATGGTGGTATTGGAATTTTTGGCCACAGAAATGCAAATTCACACCACACTGTTTCCTTTCTTTTCCATCAAGCTTGCAATTCCTTCCGTTAAAAAAAAAAACAAACAAGAAACAAGTCTTTCTTCTGGAGTTGTTATCTAGATATTGATTTGCGCAAGTGTTCTCCAGGTTTATAATTTTCATGCTAATGATCACCATCATTGGTGCAGAAGGTTGATTGATCTTAAAAATACAGAGATAAAAGTTGCTTCAGATTCTCAAGATTTACAAGAGCTTTTACGGTGTCTGTTTTTCAACAGCTTAATGAATGAAGTGGTTCATACTTCTCCAACCATAGGAAGCAATGTTGAAGAAATAGTTGTGAAGAACACTCATTTTCTTATGTGGGATATTGGTGGTCAGGAGTCTCTGCGATCATCCTGGAACACATATTACTCAAATACAGAGGTATGCTAAGATGAATTTTGAATTTTAATCCAAAGGTCCCTAGAGTAAACATAGAAAGTAATTAGGCTGCACCTGGGCGTATTGACAGTTGCCTTTTTTTTTTTTTTTTTTAAGACGGAGTCTTGCTCTGTCGCCAGGCTAGAGTGCAGTGGAGTGATCTTGGCTCGCTGCAAGCTCCGCCTGCTGAGTTCAAGCCATTCTCCTGCCTCAGCCTCCCAAATAGCAGGAATTACAGGCGAGTGCCACCACACCCGGCTAATTTTTGTATGTTTAGTAGAGACCGGGGTTTCACCATATTGATCAGGTTGGTCTTGAATTCGGGACCTCGTGATCCACCCTCCTTGGCCTCCCAAAGTGCTGGGATTACAGGCTTGAGCCACCGTGGCCGGCCTTTTAATAAGATCCTTTTTTGTAGGGAATTTGGGTTTCCTTTTTTTAAAAAATAAATAAATAAAAATTTCATAAATGAGACTTAAGAATTTGGGTTTTCGAATAAAAGAAAAGGCAAATAGAAAGATTGTTTGGAGCTATTATTACTTGAGTGCTTACTGTTTGGCCAGGTTCTCTCCATTCATCTTCACAAGATTTTCATGTCTCCAGGGTTGGAGAGATCTGACACGTGGAGATATTATGTAGGTTTCCCCAAGATCTCACAACTTTCTAAGAGACCCTGACCGGTGGAGGAATAAAATATTTTATTAATTTAAAAATTTTTTATACCATGAACATTCAAAATGTTGGTAGATTTTTTTTTAATTAGAAAAAAGTAGATTTGCAAATCATCTCTCAAAGTTCTCTGCCACTTATGAGTTCAGAGCTAACTTGGGGAACAAACCTGGATATATTCATGTTCTATTTCTGCTTTTATTTCTTATTAGAGGCAGATTTTTTTAAAAGCCATTCAATGTAGTTTAGAGAGATTTATCCTTGATAGTATGATTTCACAATTGCATCCATTTAATTGTTCTTTGCAAAGAAGTACACCTAACCAATTATTTTTTTCTAAAATGAAACCTTTTAAAAATTGGAGTTGGGCCAGACACGGTGGCTCACGCCTGTAATCCCAGCACTTTGGGAGGCCGAGGCGGGTGGATCATGAGGTCAGGAGATTGAGGCCATCCTGGCTAACACAGGTGAAACCCCGTCTCTACTAAAAATACAAAAAACTAGCCGGGCGTGGTGGGGCAGACTTGTAGTCCCCAGCTACTCAGGAGGCTGAGGCAGGAGAATCGCTTGAACCCAGGAGGCAGAGTTTGCAGTGAGCCGAGGTGGCACCACTGCACTCCAGCCTGGGTGACAAAACGAGACTCTTATCTCAAAAAAAAAAAAAAAAAAAATTGGAGTTGGAAGGGAAGAGGTAGAAAAGGATATAATATGAATAATTTTTGGTGAACAAAGTTGCCTCTTTAAAAAACATGTATTGTTCTAGATTTATATTATAATAGCATGTGTGTATGTGTGTATATATTCCAATGCAACGTGTAAGTAAACAAAGATGGCGTATCATAGATAATCAGAACTTGTGGTAGCACTGAATTATTTTATTGGGTATGCAGAAGCTGTAAGCAAATAATATAGTTAAAGGGTAGCTTATACATTTATACAGTAAAATAATGTTCTGAAACTAGAATAAGTTAGAAAGTAAGGGAAGGGCCAGGCGCAGTGGCTCACTTCTGTAATCCCAGCACTTTGGTAGGCCGAGGTGGGCAGATTGCTTGAGGCCAGGAGTTCAAGACCAGCATGGCCAACATGGCAAAACCCCATCTCTACTAAAAATACAAAAATTAGCCAGGCATGGTGGCATGTGCCTGTAGTCCCAGCTACTCCAGAGGCTGAGGCATGAGAATCGCTTGAACCTGGGAGGCGGAGGTGGCAGTGAGCTGAGATAGCACCACTGCACTCCAGCCTGGGTGGCAGAGTCTCGCTCTCTCTCAAAAAAAAAGAAAAGAAAGTAAGGGACAAATGACATTGTAGCATATGATTAATTTAAACATCAGAGCTGTTAGTAGTTTTAAGCTCACAGTTAACTCCAGCTGTGAAAAGGGCAGTTATCATTGATGAATAGGTCAAAGTTGATTCTAGTGAATCCATATGTACTTAAAGTGTGTCGAAAGGGTAGTTCTTGAAGTGACTGAAACTCTGGAGGACTTAGCATGGGTCCAGAAAGAGATATCCATTACTGATGCCATTTGCATGAAACGTTCTTTTAATAAGTGATCTCTACAAGAATATCAAAATTACTACAAAGAACAGTGGCGCCTGTCACTTTGCATTTTGAAAATTCTTCACGTGGAAGAGTCCCCCAAAAGCGGTAGTATGTCCATTATAATACAAGAAGTTACAGGTATTAAGTAATTATTGACACCTTCCTCTCATTAACTCACAGTTGTTTCCCATATTCTGTTGATTCCTCCTTTGCCACGCGACATTCTTTCCGTTTATTCCCTTCTAAGCCCAACTCAGTTTATATTCAGATTAGTTGTCTGTTTCCCTAATTTTATTTATTTTTGTTTTTTATTTATTTATTTTTTTGAGATGGAGTCTCAGTCTGTCACCCAGGCTGGAGAGCAGTGCAGCCTCCGCCTCCCAGGTTCAAAGGATTCTCCTCCCTCAGCCTCCGAAGTAGCAGGGACTACAGTACACACCACCACACCTGGCTGATTTTTGTGTTTTTAATAGAGACAGGGTTTCACCATGTTGGCCAGGTTGGTCTTGAACTGTCCTCAAGTGATATGCCCACCTCGGCCTACCAAAGTGCTGGGATTACAGGTGTGAGCCACTGCACCTAGCCTGTTTCCCTAATTTTAAAGTCATCTCTGTAATCTAATTCTACCCTTCATGTCTCAGTTTATTTTGCATCTATCTCCTGCTGTAATAACATCATTTCATCTCATTTCTTAACTTTTTATTCTGTATACAGTGTTCAGCTTAAGGGTGCTTTTTCGCTGTATCATCTCCTCCATCTCCTCCTCCTCCTCCCCCTCACCCACCCCCCACATTTTTTAAAAAATGAGTTAGGGCCTCTCTCTCACCCAGGCTGGAGTGTAGTTGCATGATTCTCAGTACAGCCTCAACTTCCTAGGCTCAAAGCAGTCCTCCCACCTTAGCCTCCCAAGTAGGTGGGACTATGTGCATGGCTAATTTTTATTTTTTGTAGAGAGACAGGTTCTCACTATGTTGCCCAAGCTAGTCTCAAACTCCTGGGCTCAAGCAGTCATCCCACCTCACCTCCCAGAGTGCTGGGATTATATGTGTGTGAGCCACAATGCCTGGCCTATATCTTCTTATTTTTTAATATGCAAACTCCCTTTTTTCATGTATAGCTTTACCAACAGATTTCTCCTCTTTTTTCTGGTGTCTTGCCTTTATTTAATTTCACCTGAATCTCCAGTATATAATGCCTAAGTATATATGTTTCAATCTGGAGCATTTATGGTGGATACTGTTTTATAAAATTGTCTTATTTTTAAAATGCATTTATCTTTTTCTTTCAAACTAGCTTTTCTTTCTAAGAGTTAGGAGATTGTGGTATACACAAGTAAGCAATTATTGACTGTTTAGATGAATGATAATGGAGTACTTTGAAGTTTTAGTGAAAAATATTATTGAAATTAGTGTAAGTTTCTTTTCAAAAATTGCTTTTTACTACCAGCATTTGAAAACAAATCATAGTATTATGTATTCGGGCATCACTTAAAATAAAACAAGTGGGGCACAGTTTTTATTTGTTGAAGCTATGAGTTATTTTCTTACTGTTAACATTTGGATTTTACTGCTTGATGTGGTTCAGTATTATAAAAGCTGTTTATGGTGAAAAAGCAGTAGATGTTTTATAGTAATGATGATGCCATGTAGAGAAAGTACTTAGATTACTTGAGTAGTTTTACAGAAAACTTTTCAGCATCCCATTCAATTTTCTGTCTTTCCTTTTAATTTTCTTCTAGTTCATCATTCTTGTTGTTGATAGCATTGACAGGGAACGACTAGCTATTACAAAAGAAGAATTATACAGAATGTTGGCTCATGAGGTAAATTTTTAAAGTAAATCTTTAAAAAACAGTGTAGTAAAGTATCTGTACGTTGCCTTTGCTTTTTTGCAAAGATTAATGTGATATGATGTTGGCTATTTTATGATTAACACAACTTTATGTACTAAACTGATGAAAGTCTTGAGGTAAAAAAAAATGTTCATTACTTTTTCAAACTTAAAAAACCCTAACACATTAATTTGTAGATTACTACTGTTATTGTAAAAATTTTTCAAAGCTAAAGTTACTTAAGCATGCCTTTAAAAGTCTGATAAATTGAGATAAGCAAAAGGAAAACTTAAGGGTCTTTTCCCCAAAAGTTTCAATAACTGAAAGGTTTTTTTTTTGTTTTTTGTTTTTGTTTTTGTTTTTTTTGAGACGGAGTCTTGCTCTGTTGCCCAGGCTGGAGTACCGTGGCGCGATCTTGGCTCACTGCAACCTCCGCCTCCTGGGTTCAAGCAGTTCTCTGCCTCAGCCTCCCGAGTAGCTGGGATTACAGGAACCCGCCACCACGCCTGGTTAATTTTTGTATTTTTAGTAGAGACAGGATTTCACCATCTTCGCCAGCCTGGCCTTGAATTCCTGATGTCGTTATCCGCCTGCCTCAGCCTCCCAAAGTGCTGGGATTACAGGTGTGAGCCACTGTGCCTGGCCTGTATTCCATGTTTTTCAAACTTATACTATATAATATATATCTTTCTGAATCTTGCTCTTTTTGTACAACATTGTGACTTATCCATGATAATATATTCTGATTATCCATCTTAATATGTACTGCTTTCGTTCATTCCTTTTAACAACTGTATAGTTTTCCACAGTATGAGTATATCACAATCTATTCTTCTAATGTTTTCATAGTATAAACAATGCTGAAATGAATATTAACCAATGACCTTATGTTATACAAAGACTAGTAAGTAATAAGTATTGCCCAGCTCCCACCACCAGTACTCTTAAGTTTTGGATAAACTCTAGTATTTGGCAACATACTACCATATTTGCCTATTAGAATATTAATTATGTATTTTTGAGTCAGTATTTAAAATTCAGGTGTATTTTTTTTTTTCAGTTTGACCAGTTCGACTCAAAAATAAAAAATAATTATTTAATATTAATCTGTTGGAATGAATAATGAAATTACGGGTATTTGAGATTATTTTTATGTTAAATACTAGTGCCCGATTATGTTAAAGTAGAAGCACTTCATTATAACTGTTCAGCTGGGTAAATTTAAATTGTGGTATTTCACATATTAGAAATATTTTGTCTTGATTGCAGGATTTACGGAAGGCTGCAGTCCTTATCTTTGCAAATAAACAGGATATGAAAGGGTGTATGACAGCAGCTGAAATCTCGAAATACCTCACCCTTAGTTCAATTAAGGATCATCCATGGCACATTCAATCCTGCTGTGCTCTCACAGGAGAAGGGTAAGTTCATCCGTCTGAGGGGAGGTATGACTTCTTTCAAATTTCTTCCAACTTTTTAGGCCAACTTGTTTTCTTCATGGGTCCTGTTCCTTTTCTGTTTGTTTGTTCTTAATTAAAGGTGACTTTTATAATGTGTCTCAGGCTTACAACCTAGAAATAATTCTAGTAAAATCACTGGCAACTTAAAAACTTTTAATGTAAATATAATGTTTTACCAAAAAGCAATAAACTATTGAATTGAGTTTTCATAATCCAAATTTTTTTCTTTGTTGCCTTTATCATATACTGAGAAAAAAACTGTAATGTCACCTTTCTTTTAAAAAGGAAGCTTGAAAGAAATTTCACATTTTCTGCAAGGACTTAAACCTGAGCTCTCAGCTTTCTGCAAGAGTATGTCTTCTTTATTATTAGGAGGTCTTTTGGGAGGCATATTTCCAGACAATAAACAGTTGAGACAAATGCCACATGGTCTATTCTTCCATCTCTAACAATTTGAATGTGGGTATTAGGCCAAGAAGAACCGAATGTTATTTAAGTATTATCCTGTTTATATCAGAGAACTTATCCTCAAATCAACCTCACCTTCTTAGTTTTTCTCTTAGTATTTATCAGAAATAGCTTGCAGTAATAGCTGTGTGTAGGCCTTTTTGACTCATACTTTTAAGACTGAGTCTAAGTATTCCATTCTTTAGAATTGAGGAGGATAAGGTGAAGTTGCTATTGACTTTCTCCAGTCGTTAAGTTTCAGTTAATTTTAAAAGGCGGGGAGTATTTGCACTCTTCATGGCAAAACTGGCAAAGTTGTATCTTCAAGATGAGACTGAAGCAATTTCCCACAAACTGATTAAGAATATTTAAGAGAACATTCCATTTAAAAATTTCACTTATTATAGTGTGACTTGAATGTTGACACTGATGTATATAAATAATGATTGTGCTACCAGCCTTTGGTTAAGACCTAAAAATAATAAGTACGCTTTCAGTTTTTAAGTATAAGGTTTTTAATTAAAAATACTTCTATCTTTTGTTTAGGTTATGCCAAGGTCTAGAGTGGATGACCTCCCGGATTGGTGTGAGATAACTTTTTTGCTTGAAAGAGACTGCTCTATTTATTCTGTGACATGAACATTTTTTCCTAGTACCTTTGGCTGCTAAGGCAGCAGCATGTTTAATTTATAACAACACAAACCTCTGAGAGCAACACTTGAATCAAGTGCAGCTGAACTGGAACATAAAAGATTTTTTCTTAACTTTTTTTTTTTAACACACTAATCTTCAGTTGGATGAATGTAATGTATAACTATGTTTTCAGCAACAATTCTTCTGTTTATTCTAATTAATCAGTGACTGCCTTGTAAGAAATGTTTGTCATATGCGTGATGTCTTCTGAAATATTCTTATAACCTTAATGACCAATTGCTTTCAATTCTTGACCAGCACTCCCTCCCAACCAGAGAATTACTGGTTTGATAGAGTAGTCTTGGAAACCATCAGGTACTGCCTGCAGACTTCTCCAGCACTAAATATATTTGTTCCCTCTATAAACCATTCATCTTTCGGACAGAACTTACTGTAAAGAAAGAAATCTGCCTAGAGGATATATGTAAGGAAGATTCCACATCATGAGTACTTGCCTTTTAACTTTCCCCCACATTACTGTTGAGTCATGGAATAATGTTTAAGTTGTTATTTGCATGGAAATTAAGTAGGCTGTTTATTTATCTAAAGGAATCAAGTCCACTCTTCTGCCTGCAACATTTGTTCAAAAACTAACCAAGGTAAAATATTTATTTGAAAGCCCAACTTTGATGTTAAATATTCTTGAATAAATCTGTTATTTTAAGAATATCACATTATTCAATGCATATAAAACTATCAGAAGTTAGTAAATCATACCAGCACTAAAAATAAGACAATTGGAATATATTTTAGCATCAGTTTACAAACAACTTTATTATCAACAGAAATTTTAGCTCTTTTCTTTGCAAGATATATCACAGCTGCTTTGGGCAGTAGCTGAAGCCGAAGTATGAACAGTCCATTTTGTTTCTTAAAATTTGAAGTCGTGTCTGTCATAGCATTTTTACTACCAGCAGTATGTTACTTAAAAAACTACATGGCTTTCCTTGAATTTATTTGACGGTATTATGTAATAGACTTGAAACAATTGCCATCTTTGTAGTTATGCCTTGGGTTCTAAAATGTTATAGGAAACTGCTGAATTGAATCCTAGCTTTTAGAATATTAATAGGAGACTCAAAGTTAATATTCTTAACAACTTAAAATTAAAAAAAGTCATAATCTATCAAAAGTTTATTTATTGGATGGCATTAAAACATTTTTGAGGCAGTTGTCTAATATGAACAATAATCTAAACAATATATTCCTTAAATTAAGAGGAAAGACAAGTGTCGTATTTCGATCCTGTTTATTCAAATGTGTGATTTTGCTGAAATGAAAGGGATAAAATGAATACTTAGAGAATAATACTTCATTTTTGCAGTACTTTTTAATTTTGATAAAAAAGATACAAAGTTCATAATATCAAAATATGTGTTCAAAATTGGTATTTTAATTTTAATATTTTTGTAAGTTGATTTAAATTTTGCTCTTTTTTCAGGTGTGCTTGGTTTATTATATTTAGTCAAGTTAATTTAGTCGAATGTGGTAACATTTTTCTGATTTATCTTTAGTTGGAGCACACCCTTGAACTGAACAGTGGCCAAAGGAAAGCTTTCTGGGCTTTGGAAAGTAGTTGTTTAACTTTGTTTTAAGCCGTTTTCTTAGTGATTCTGTATCAAGTAGAGGATAAGTGTAGTTTAACTTAGTTTTTAATATAACCCATAATCAAGAACATGAGCGAAAAGCAGACATAAATCGATATGGATGGTTTGTGGTGTGTGTGGGATGTGGGGGAATTAAGAAAATGCCATTTACCTAAGCACAGTTTGCCTGAATTTCTGCTTGGTTGTGTTGTTTACCGTAAGTACTGAGGGTAGTTTCCCTAAGTCTGTCCTGAGAAAAAGCATACTTAGTACTCCTGTATTTGTTCTTATGAAATGACTATCTGCCTTCTTGTATCTAGTAAGATTGGCTGGCTCAATTTTCTTCTGTCAAATTATATGGTTATTTTTTATATTACCACATCAGCATTATATTAAAAGTGTTTTTAATAGTTGATTGTATTTTGCCAACTACTAGTATAGACTCAAATTTGCTATTTAATTTTTAAAATACAATTTATTTTGTAAATCCTTTAAAAAATATTTGGTTAGTTTTGGATTAGAAATGATTTATGTTAGCCATGTGTTGAAGATGAAATTGGCATCAGTGTAGACGGTGCTGATTGGGAAAAGTTCATGATTAGGAAATTCATGTAAGACTTTTTAAGAGTATTTTTTAGGTTTTCACTCAATCTTTCCTGTCACAGTAACGTGAAAACTGATTATTCTTTACTCCAAGAGAATGTTTTAACCCAAGCAAGTATCTAATACTAGAGCATTGGTTCTGACATTCATTGTAAATCAGTGAACTGTAAGATACTGTCTAAAAAATGTACATTTGTAATTAGTGCCTTTATTCATATTTTGAAATAAGTTCTTAGTTTTATATTATACCTGTTCTTTAGAAGTCATGTTAGCAGCTAATTATTTCAGTGATGAAATAATTTGTGTTTTATATCCCCCTTCACCTCCATGTATTGGTTAGCACAGTTTATAGTAAGTGAAAAGCAAGGGACCCACCTACATTACCTTCAGGAGACTGTTCTACCTTTTAATTTGAAAACAAGGAAATTAAATTTTAACAGAAATCTTTTAAGTATGTTATAACCAAAGTGTTCAATTATCCTTGCAAGTTCAAATACAGCATTTTTCTTAATTTTGAGCGTGTCATGTCCTTCATCTTTAAACCCATCATTCTTATTGAAGCCCATTTGAGAACTCTTAGAATTAATAGAACCTTTTATAAGGGAATATATGGAATATTTTTTATTGTTAATGTAACTTAATTCCTTAAAACCTGGAATATTAATATATATAATCTATTAAAAGCTGAAGATTAAATATGTAATTTTTGCTTTTAGTTTCTTGTGTTAGTATGCTTAAAGGTATCAATACTTTTATTCTATATTCATTAGAAGAAAGGTAATAAATTTAAGTTTCATTGCTGAAAAATTTTAAATGAGTGCCACCCCATAGCCATAGTCATTTTGATTAAGCATAATTTAACTTTCATTATAGCATAAAGAGAAAATAATTATTTTAGTATGGAAACAGTGATAGGCAGTGCTGTAAACAATATTCTCTGAAAAGTTGTGGGGGTCACAAAGAAAATTTTAAAGAATATAGAAGCTTTTTTAAAAAATCTTTTTAGTGTAGTTTCTTAGAACAAATTATAAACATAATCATTCTGAATAATCAATTTTTATTTAGTCCTTAACTATGTAAAACCGTATCAGTAGAAAAATGTGCTGGTGTCGTGTCTAAAGATGGATAAATTTCTTTGGAATTTATCTTTGGAGACCAACTTTATGAGGCAGACTTTTTGTCTACAGCTTTGGAACCAAAAAAACTTCACTCTAATTCAGTCCTAAAGGCTATTTTACATTTTGCCGGGGTAAAGTGACTTCAAGATACAGCATGGTGTCTTGTATCTAGTAGAATATTGTGCTAGCCATCTAAAAAAGTGGATTTGAGCCTTAATTTGGCCGTTTCTCAATTGTCTAGTTGACCTTAGACAATTAGTGTCCATGGCTTTCCTTTTGTTTTTCCCATACTGAGGAACTTAAACTACAGCTCTAAAATGTCTTTTGGTTTTAAAATTCTGAATGCTTATATACTACTATTAAAAATTAAAAATCCCTCAAATAGTAGGGCAATACAGGTAATATGAAATTAAATGTATTTTTATCCATTATTTGATTCCCACCTGTTATTTTATTTAGAATACGAATACAACCAAGTAGGGAAAAACGTATCAGTAACTGCTATTCAACTTAAATTCAGCGAATTAATAGCTGAATAGAAATAGCTAATGACAATGCAAAAGAGAAAACAAGCCATATTGCTAAGAAAAGGATAGTAAGCTGCTTAGAAAGAACCAGCCTGTGTTGGAAATAATTCTCTTCTAGATAATTTACCTTATTTTCTTGGCTTGTACTAATTGAATGGAAGTGGTTAATTTGTTCAGAGTTTATTGCCGTTTGATGCCACCCCAGTCTATAGTTCTGTGTGACTTTCCATATTGAAAGAGTAGGGTTAGTAGCCAGGTTGTCAGTCTTTTACAAATGTCTACATAAATGTCTACATAAATCTGAAAGTGGTTTATATTCAAGGTTAGTTTTTCAGTAGCGTCTCCTCCTTATTCATTCACTTTTACTGTGAAGACTGAAATCCAAAAGCCAGGTTCCCCAAAAAAGTATTTTTAAAAAATTTTAGGGGACCAAAATAAATAGAGGAAGACCAATATAAAAAAATATGTTCAACTATTCCATTTTAAATTTAAAGCAGAAAAAAAAATTGTGCCCCTCAGACCTAAAGGCAGCTTTAAATGTATATAGTTTGGTGAAACATTTGGGAAATATTAATTTGGAGGTTTAGAAGCATACGAAAAACAAATTCAAAGCACTTGAAAGTAAAGACAATATCATGAGGTCGAAAAAACTTCAAAAGGATATTAGGTAAGAGAAAATGTGAATGAAAGCAGTGAATTTCTGCCTCTCCTCGTATTTAGGGTACTTAAAATTACTAAAAAATACTGTCTTTTTACCATACAGCTAGATGGCCTGTATTATTCTTAATGTGGCCAAAGGAGTGAAGACTGATTAGGGTTTTAGAATTTGGAACTGTAGTCACATAAAGGCATCTTTTGCATTTCTTAAACCAGTAATCTACATTTTCTCCTGGAAATGGAGAAATATGAAATGTGCTGTGCATAGCTTTTGGAATAGAAAACAAAGTTTTAAAAGAATGGATATGTTTTCTTGCACAACTTGTAAAATTTTAATTAAAAAATTACCTCATTTTTCAATCCATAAGGTGCTTTGCTCAAGTTTGTGGGATGTTTGTACCATCCCATAAAAACCCCCTTCACCCAAACTGTATTTGAAATATGCAAAATTCATAACTAAGGGATAGCATTCCTTGGAGACTTTGTTTTGTTTTACTCTTGTTTACCAGCTGGGCCAACATGGTAGATATATGAGATTCACATATGGTTTCATTAAAGCACATAGGAAAGTGCTCAGTCAATATTTAATTAGTTTAATTAGATAAGGGAAAGGAGAAATCCTAAATTTGATGGATTCTTTTATACTGTGAATATATTTCCATCAGTGTTGGTAAGATATCAAATGACTATCAGTTGATCCCAGTCATCAGTGACTTATTTGCATATTTAAGCCCTATTCACAAGAGACCATAATCATTTTAATCTTATATTTTCCCTCAGGAAATTTAGGGACTCTGAAGCCCCTATTTTATTCTCTTGGAGTAAACTGTTGAGTGTAGTTACAAAAACTTTTATTTATGACTTAAAAAAAGTTTAGCTGCTATTTCAGTGAAAGTGTAAAATAAAACGGTCATGATTTTTTTCAATTACAGAATAGTTACAAATTTTACCATGTTCATCTATTCCACAGAGCATGTTAAAAACAACAACAACAAAAACCTAACAGCAATTACAACCTTGGTGTTGCGTTTATTCTAATCAGAGTGAATGATTATAATCACACTTTGCTATTTTAACATAAATTGGTGCTTTAGAGCATTAAAGAGGAAGCAGCAGGCCCTGTACTCAGTATTTATTATTTCTTGCCTCAGAATGCAAAACAACTTTAAAGTGTCTATATTCATATATATGTGCATTTCTTAAGATTTAAATACAAACTGTTGTTACTCCTTAAGCTTCAGGCTTTCTGCGAAAGCTCTAAGAATATCTTCATTACTATGCTTGGTCAACTGGAAGATGGTATTAATAAGGTCAGAATTAGGAATTGGATTGCTCTGTGGGTCCTCCGGTATTGTGCAGAGGAAAGAAAAATGTCTTTCACACCACAAACTGTGTGTCTGAACCCCAGCCAAACAAATGTGTTCCATTGGTCCAATATATAAGCATTAACAACAACAACAAAAAATTTAAAACAAGTAAATTAATGCATTCACATGATCACTTCTTGAAAATGGTTCAAAGCATGTTTTCCTGATGGTGGGATTGTTTAAATGACATGTTTTAAAGTTTTTAATACTTTATTAGTTATGAAGTGCTTCTTTTATATGTTAAGTTTAGGTTGCCAGTACTCATAATTTTTATTTCTGCAATTATGTTATAATGAGTTGTTTGCATGCCTACTTAACCCAAGTAAAACGATGCTGTTTGCTCTGGAATGTTCATCTTTTAGACAGGTTTTGGCTCATTTCCAATCATGGTGCAATATAGTGTAACATTCATTTGTTTTCATTCAACAGTTTTATTTTTGTCATAATAAATAATTACTTTTCCAATACGAAGTGAATCCAGTGTTTTCTTTTAAAGGTAAATCTGCTTTAAGTTATTTGCTTGCAAATAATAGAAACCCACCTATGCCAACAAAGAGAGGATAATTGGGGTGAGGTGGTGGAGGCTCACAGAACCCACGGAACAACTGGATTTGTAGAACAGACTGAGACTAGAGACTGGACCATTTAGGAGCAAGCAGGAAGTTACCTTTTTTCCTGCTCATCTGTTTCTGTCTTTCACCTGACTGGATTTCTCTGTTTCCTGATCCACATAACAGATAATGTCCCAAGTCCAGTAGCCTCCTAAATTTGTACAAGGGAGAAGTCAGATTATTGTTAGACTTTCAATTACAATTCCATATTCCCCAGGGAAATTGTTCATTAGCCTGCATTGGGTCATTTCCTCTCTCTGATCTAAACAACTGGCCAAGTGGAAGGTGCATTTACCAGAGAAGGGGAATCCCTGGCCTGGGAAGGTGATCCGGATTGGTGTGTACTCCATTGTGGGGTATAATTGGGATCATCTACCAAAGTTGTGTCCTTGTAAAAAATAAAATAAAATTGAGATCTAATAATGAGTGGGATAACATTTTCACTATGTTCATTCTTCACATTCCTCTAAAGTGGTTTTAACTCCACCGTTTTTGCTCACAGACCTCTTTGGGAATGTGATAAAAGTTGCCTACGTAGAAAAATGACTCATAATTACAGAGTTAGGAATTTTGAGTAGAAGGTTAGGAATTTCAGGTACCTAGGCTTAAGAGTTCTGCTACACACGGAACACTCAGATTTCTTCTGAAAGACACCAGAAACTAGTAAGATTTCATTCTGCCTGTTATTTTTTAATCAGTAAACTTAAGATTGGTATCTTTTTTAAAGCATGTTTTATGTAGGTATTTTTGTAGGTATAATGAATGCATTAAACTGTTCGTGGTTAAAGTGTACAATTTGAAAAGCTTTGATGTGTATACATTTGCAAAATCTTCACCACAATCTGGGTAATGAAAATACCTGTCACTCCAAAAGTTTCCTAGTGTCGCTTTGTAATCCTCCCTTCTGCTCCACTCCCCATCCGCAGATAATCACTGGTTTTGACTAATTATCCCCAATTTTGTGATTTAAAACAGTCTAAAATTAAGGTGCCAGCAGGGCTGTGTTTCTCCTCAAGGTTCAGGAGAGAACTCATCCTCACCTTTTTCAGCTTTTAGAGGCTGTGTGCATTTCTCGGCTCATGGCCCCTTCCTCACATCACTCCACCATCTGGCTTCTGTCAACACATCTACCCATTCTCATCATCCTATGCTTTTCTCATATTAAGGACCCTAGTGTTTCTAACTAGGTTTTCCTTGATAATCCAGGATAACCTTCCCATCTTGAGGCCCTTATGCCAGGTAAGGTAACACATTCACATGTCTTGGGGAATTAATTCTACTGCATGTGAGCTAAAAGAGCATCCTGAACAAAACCCTCACATGCTGGCAGGTGGCCACTTGCGATACTGGCTCACTGCAACCTTTGCCTCCCAGGCTCAAGTGATCCTCCCATCTCAGCCTCCCGAGTAGCTGGGACCACAGGCATGTGCCACTACACCCGCGTAATTTTTTTGTACTTTTTGTAGAGATGTCCCGCCATGTTCCCCAGGCTAGTCTCGAACTTTTGGGCTCAAGCCATCTGCCCGCTTCGACCTCTCAAAGTGCTGGGTTTACAGGCGTGAGCCACTGTGCCCGGCTCATACACTGATTCTTGATTTAACCTTTCTTTGTTTAAAAAACCCTTCCTACTAAGAAATATGTATACTCCTCAGCAAATTTGAATTCACATCTGAGATTTTTGACCTGACATTTTTGTGAGGACTTGGAGATTTGATGTTGCTATACTTGAGGATTATTCTGCAACAGAAACAAATGTAGTTTCAGTTTGATAATAACAATGAATGCACGTCTTCCAAAATGGGATTGGCTGTTTTATCACTTCTTTCAAATTAGTCACCTTATTTTGGCAGATGACACTATATGACTCAACATCAAGATACTTCATACTTGATAGGGATCATCTGATCTATGGCTCTGTTCTGAATTATGGTATTTTCATATTCAATTTAAAATAACACTGCAACCTCTTCTTCCTGGGTTCAAGCAACTCTCATGCCTCAACCTCCCAAGTAGCTGGGATTACAGGCATGCACCAATTACAGGGAAATTTTTTTGTACTTTTACAAAAAACTGACCTCAGGTGATCTGCCCGCCTCGGCCTCCCATAGTGCTGGGATTACAGGCGTGAGCCACCACGCCCGGCCCAGATGCATGTGGTTCTAAAGCTGTTCACTACCAGGGAGAAAGGTTCAAGAAACTTGAGCTCTGGCTTCGTTTTCTCTTACTGACAGAATGAAAGGGAAATGAAAAAATTTCCTCCATATATGCTTTGCCCAAAAACAAAGTTCAGGGGATGCATAGGCATAATGGAAGTCACTTGGCTAGCAACGGCAATTTGTATTCAGAACAGGGACCCTGTGGCTCAGAAGAGGTGGAGAGAAAAGGCTTGGAGAAGGATTTCACATTCTGAGGGAATTCTTAGCTATATGCCTGCCTGAGCTAAATAGGAACTCTAACTCCCTCTGCTTATAAACAAAACAAAAAGCAAACACGGATGCAAACAAGAACAGTGGCTCCTTTTCAAACCTGTTTTTTCTTTCCTTGTCAAAGTTATAATTTCCTTTGAGAAAATTATAACTTACATGACGTGCATGAAACAATGTGCACAATTTAACAAATCAGTAACTTGAACATATGTCCCCACCACTTATTATTGTATCCAGTATTGCTCTCTGGAAATGGCCAGCTTCATGTGGTTGTAGTTACCACCCTCATTCAAAAGTACTTGAGACCATGTTCCACCTCTGAGGGTTTCCCAGGGTGAGATTAGGGCTGTGGCTGATTCTACCCCCAAACCCACAGAATGCCCCAGTGATAGTTATATGTATGACTGTGGTAAGGAGAAATTTGATAGGGAAAAAGAGACGTTGATTTCCCATCCATCTCCTTTATTTCCTGGAGCCTGTGGCATACATGAAACCACCATTGCAAAATAATAACTGAGACAGTGAAAGAGATCTGACCCAACCAACTCCATCTTTTAAGAGCTTTTAACCTCCAAGCTGTCCTTGTTCATTCCTGGGAGCTGGCTGAACTAACTTTGGGAGGAACTCAGTTTATAGTTTGAAACAAAAACGATAGCCCTTTCCCAAGACAAATCCCCTTCTTGGCTGGTGACTAGACTTCCTTTGTGGGACTAACACATTAGCCAAAAGATTAGAAATTATTGTTTAGGAGTCATGCAGCTGTAGGCTGCACGATTCTAAACCTCCCCAGATTGCTCCTGGGGATAACATCACTATTGTAAAACCTAAGATCAGTGTTTGAGATATTTTGTAGACCCTGCACTCAGTGGATCAGCAGGCACCACCCAGATCAATAAACTGGCTCTTGTCTTGTGGTCCTCACCCAGGAAGTGACTCAGGGCAGCTTCAACTCCCTGTGATTTCATCTTTGACCTGACCAATCAGAACCCCCGATTCACTGGCCCCCTACCTACCAAATTATCTTTAAAACCTCCAGTCTCTGAATTGTCAGGCTGTGCATGGATTACTCTTTCTCTATTGCAGTTCTCCTGTCTTGATAAGTCATCTCTGTCTAGGCAGCAAGCAAGGCGAATCCACCTGTTGGGTGGTTATATACAGATTGTTCAGGTCTGAGTTAATAAGGAAAAACAAAGAATTACAACAATTCAGCCCTGATTAATTTTGCTGAATGGTGGAGTCCTCAGTAGAGTTATAACTTCCAGTGACTCCAATGAATCCCACTCTGTAGACCAGCCCCTACATTTCTAGATGAGACTCCTTTGATGATAACCTACCAGTAAGACAAATTGTGGTGCACTCTCTTAATGGGAGAAACTAATAACCCTGCTTTTGATGGGGAAGGGCCAATATGGGTATGCGCCCATAAAACTGAGAATAAAAAGGTTTTGTACTCCAGATTCAAGAAAGGAAAAATACTGTCTTTTTGCTATATCCCTACAGGTAAGAACGACAGCCCCACATGAATGCGTACGTCTCTGACAATCAATCAGTGACGAATCAGTGACGAGCCAATGCTTCAGAAAGTCAGCCAGTCAGTGAAAGTGAATGATCATGCTTCCACTGGGGGAATTTGATAAGAAGATTGAAACTCTTCCAATTCCCTGTGTTCCATTCAAACCGTATTTTTGCTCATAGAGACTAACCCTTAGAGTGATTCTCAAACAATGATGTCAGCATCAACTAGGAACTTGTTAGAAATGCAGATTTTCAGACTCCATCCCAGACTTTTTATATTAGAAACTCTCAAGGTAAGGGCCCAGAAATCTAGTTCAACAAGCCCTTCAGATGATTCCAATGGAAGTTAAAGTTTGAGAACCACTGCCTTATAAACCCAACTCTTCCTTGCTTTGGAAGGAATATCTGTTTTACATATTCACTGGTGGCCTTTTGCTTTAACAAAGTGAGACCATTATTATTTCTGGAGGAAAAGTGAAGAGATGGACCGAACACACTGTGCAGGGAGAAAGCTGGTGGAGGGGACAGGGTGGTGCTCATCAGTCATAGGGAAGAACCCTGAGAGAGGAAAATAAGGGTTCCTCAGCTGAACATATATTGGGAATTCAGATAGAATACACTAACATTAGCCATAGCAACCCAAGCTTGCTGGACTTAAAGTAGGAAAAAGAGCCTGGCAAACTCCAATCTGAGAGCCTGGAAAATGGCAATATCCAGCTTTATTTTATTTTATTTTTTTAGACAGAGTGTCACTCTGTCGCCCAGGCTGGAGTGCAGTGGCGCGATCTCTGCTCATTGCAACCTCCGCCTCCTGGGTTCCAGCAATTCCCCTGCCTCAGCTCCCGAGTAGCTGGAATTACAGGCATGTGCCACCACGCCTGGCTAATTTTTGTATTTTTCAGTAGAGGTGGGTTTTCACCATGTTGGCCAGGCTGGTCTCAAACTCCCGACCTCAAGTGATCCGCCCACCTCGGCCTTCCAAAGTGCTGAGATTACAGGCATGAGCCACTGCACCTGGCCCTATCCAGCTTTTAAGGTTACTTTATCTCCAGGCTAGTGGTGAGAGTTAATGAGACACAAACCCCACCCAACAAATGGGGTGACTGGGAATATCCTGAGAGTGAATAAAAGCCTTTTATATCCTTAGCAAGCAGGTTTGGGAGAATGCAGAATCAAACAGTTGCCAGGGATACCCCTTTCCTTTTTTAAAAAACAGACTTTACTCTTATTTTGTTAAATTTTTATTTTATTTATTTATTTATTGACGTGAGTTTTCACTTTTGTTGCCCAGGCTGGAGTGCAATGGTGCGATCTTGAATCAGTGCAACCTCCACCTCCTGGGTTCAAGCGATTCTCCTGCCTCAGCCTCCCGAGTAGCTGGGATTACAGGCACTCGCCATCATGCCCGGCTAATTTTTGTATTTTTAGTAGAGATGGGATTTGACCATGTTGGCCAGGCTGGTCTCGAACTCCTGACCTCATGATCTGCCCACCTCGGCCTTCCAAAGTGCTGGGATTACAGGTGTGAGCCACCACGCCTGGACTAAAATAGGCTTTATCCTTTCGATTCACAGAAACATTGAGGAGAAAGTATAAAGAGTTCCCATATACCATCTGCCATTCCCTCCCACCCCCACACAGCCTCCCTTACTGTCAACATCCTGTACCACAGCGGTACATTTGTTATGACTGAAGAACCTACAGGGCACGTCATCGTCACCCAAAGTCCATAGGGTTTACTCTTGGTATTGTAGATTCTATGGGGTTTGACGCATGCATAATAACATGCACTCACCATTATAATATCATACAGAATACTTTCAGTGTTCTAAAATCCCTCTGCTTTGCCTGTTCCTCCTTCCCTTCCACCTAACCCCTGACAGCCACTGATCTTTTTGCTGTCTGTATAATTTTGCCTTTTGGAGAATGTCATATAGTTAGAATCATACAGTATGTAGCCTTTTCAGATTCGCTTTTTTCATGGTAATATGCATTTAAACTTCCCGCGTGTCTTCTCATTGCTTGACAGCTCATTTTTTTTTCTTTCCCCAAATTAACTTTTCATTTTATTTGCGAGTTTTTAACGTGAAGGGTAATACAGGTACAGGAAAGTGCACATTCCAGAAGTGGACAGTTCAGGAATTTTCACAAATTGAAACTATGCATGTCAGCAGTACACTGATCAAGAAAGAGAACAGGAGAACAAGCCAGATGGCTTGTGCAGCAACCTGGTGGCTCATGCCTGCAATCCCAGCACTTTGGGAGGCCGAAGTGGGAGGGACTGCCTGATCCCAGGAGTTTGAGACCAGCCTGGGCAACATAGTAAGACTCCATCTCTACAAGAAATAAACAAATAAAACAATACCTGGCTAATTTTTGTGTATGTTTAGTAGAGACGGGGTTTCACTGTGTTGGCCAGACTGGTCTCAAACTCCTAACCTCAGGTGATCCGCCCACCTCGGCCTCCCAAAATGGGATTACAGGCATTGAGTCACCACCGCCGGCTGACATAGATTATTCTTAATGTTCCTTTCTGTTATGAAGTCGTTCCTGATTTTAAAAAAATCATATATGTAATATGCTCTGAAAATCAAATACAATGTACCTGTAACAGATATATTGCAGTTTATAATACTGTTTAACAGTAGGTATATATTAGCTAAGAAAATTTTAAAATCTGGGCCAGGTGCGGTGGCTTACATCTGTAATCCCAGAACTTTGGGAGGCTGAGGGGGCGGATCACCTGAGGTCAAGAGTTTGAGATCTACCTGGCCAACATGGTGAAACCCCGTCTCTACTAAAAATACAAAAATTAGCCAGAGCATGGTGGTGAGTGCCTGTAGTCCCAGCTACTTGGGACACTGAGGCAGGAGAATTGCTTGAACCTGGGAGGAGGAGGTTGCAGTGAGCCAAGATTGCACCACTGCACTTCAGCATGGGCAGCAGAGCCAGAAACCATCAAAAAAAAAAAAAAAAAGAAAAAAGAAAAAAATGTTAATATGGTATTAGAAAACTACAATGTAAACAATCACAAAAGATAGTTTAAGCTGAAGCATTAGCAATAAAATATGTAATCAGTAAATGAGAGGCTTTGGGGTTTGTTTTCCTTCTCATCCTCTCTCTCTCCTCTTCCTCCTCTTTCTTATTTTCTTCTTCCTCATTTTTCTCTCTCCTCTTCCTTTCTTCCCTCTTGCTTCTCCTCTTCTTCCCACTGCCTTCTTCTTCCTCCTTTTCCTTCTCATCATTCTCTTTCTCTCTCCTGCCTTCTCCTTTTTTCCATTCTCTAGTCCTGACAGTCAGTAAACCCATGTCACGGTAAGTTAAGGGATGTATTTCTTGTTCTTCTTGACCTTGTTCAGAGTCTCACTCTGTCACCCAGGCTGGAGTGCAGTGGTGCAATCTAGGTTCACTGCAACCTCGGCCTCCCGGGTTCAAGTAATTCTCCTGCCTCAGACTCATAAGTAGCTAGGTTTACAGGCACGTGCCACCACACCCAGCTAATTTTTGTATTTTTGGTAGAGGTGGGGTTTTACCATGTTGTCCAGGCTGGTCTCGAACTCCTGACCTCAAGTGATCTGCCTACCTCGGCCTTCCAAAGTGCTGGGATTACAGGTGTGAGCCACCGCACCCAGCTGACCTTGTTCTTCTTGATCTTCTTGTTCTTCTCCTTCTCTCTCTCTCTTTTTTTTTTGTTTGTCATTTAATAAAGAACTCCAGAGGAGTTTAAATATGAATATAACTTAAATGTGACTCAGAAGAGGAAGACAGGTGAATGCTGTTTTTTAAAAAGTGCTTTTTGAAATATTATTTTCTTCTCTTTGATAAAACCTGATATGGTGGCATAGAAAAAAATACCCAGCCTCTCACAACTCCTCCCCTCTCTTTTTAAACAGAATATTTCTTCTAACTTTAAGCTTCAGGGGCCATCAAGAGGTAAATTAGTTTTCTAGACAGTGTGTTTCCTCTAGATGGCAGAATAGGATTTTATTTTGCACTGTTGAATCCTCTTCGCTATTATTTGAACGTTTCTTATTACAGAAGTTTTAAAGTTATTTGGTAACTGAATACATATTTAAAATTTTCTTTGTGCAGATAACACCTCGCCAGCCTAAAGTCACAGGAAGAATAGGCCTAGGTACACAAATGATAAATCTAAATAATAATTTTTTAAAAAAAATTCAGAATGTTTGATAATCAAAGCTATGCTATCTTGAGTACATTGCTAATTACTTTGCCAAAATATAGATCCCACTAGACTGGCTTTAAAGGGTAGATGAGATTCATTAACTGATATTTATTATTGCTGCCCAGTGAATGTTGCTGTAGTCCTTGAAAATTACCCTCTTATTTGGTGAAATACACTGTCGCATTTACTTTTATGTTGCAAATGTGTTTACTGGTGAAATACACTGTCGCACTTGCCTTTATGTTGCAAATTTGTTTACTGGCAATTTTTTTTCCCCATAGAAATTTCAAAAATAAACTTTTTAAGAGTTTATTTCAAATAGACTAGAATAGACTTGGCTTAGTTATTAAGAAGTTTGAATTCATTGTATCTGAAAAATGGAATTCAAATCAGATCCCTTAGCAATTATCATTTATTTATAATAGTTTATCATATAATGCAGTGTTGTCTCTGAATACAATTGCTATTGGAGATCTATTAGTTTACTTCCATTTCTCAATAACCTGTTTCTACCAGAAAATGAATTTTCCACATAACAGACACTCTAGAAATACTTATGAATTAGAATTGATTTGAATACAGGTCACATTCCCAACTTTGATCTGAAACATCTAAGGAGATGTACTCACGGGTTGAAACCTAACCTTTCTTTTTAAAAGGGATCATCTTTTCCCCACAAAAAGCCTGCATCACATGCCTCCCAAATGAAGATCACTCTTTGTCTACTTGTACAGGGATGAAGTAACAAAGACTGATTTCGGAATTTTAGATTTACCCGTATTGAGATCTGAGGTCTGTAAGTTTTGTTGTAGCAACAGAGCAAGATAATGATTTGTGATTTCTCACTCTGATAATTTTGCCTATGAGTGACTGACACAGTCACGTGCTGCAAACAATGTTCTGGTCAACAAGGGACCACATGTACAATTATGATCCCGTAAGATTATAATGGAACAGACCGGGCACGGTGGTTCACACCTGTAATTCCAGCACTTGGGGAGGCCCAGGTGGGTGGATCACCTGAGGTCAGGAGTTTGAGGCCAGCCTGGTCAACATGGTGAAACCCCGTCTCTACCAAAAATACAAAAATTATCCAGGTGTGGTGGCATGTGCCTGTAATCCCAGCTACTCGTGAGGCTGAGGCAGGAGAATCACATGAACCCGGGAGGTGGAAGTTGTCGTGAGCCGAGACGGCACCACTGCACTCCAGCCTGGGCAACTGATTTCTGGAGTGTGCCACTGCACTCCAGCCTGGGTGACAGAATGAGACACTGTCTCAAAAAAAAAAAAAAGAAAAGAAAAGAAAAGAAAAACAAAAACAAAAATATTATAATGGAGCTAAAAAATTACTGTTGCCCAGTGACATTGTAGCCATCGTAATGTCACAGCACAAAGCATTGTTGCTCACAGGCTTGTGGGGAAGCTGGTATAAAGAAACCTGCACTGCCAGTCGTATAAAAGCAAAGCCCATATAATTATATAGACTACATACTGCATGATAATGATAATAAACAACTATATTACTACTTCTTGTATCTACTATAACATCATTTATATTGTTATTTGAGAGTGTACTCCTTCTATTGATTTTAAAAAGTTAACTGTAAAACAGCATCAGGCCAGCCTTTCAGAAGAAATTTCAGGAGAAGGCATTATTATCATTGGAGATGAGAGCTCCATGCATGTTATTGCCCTGAAGACCTTCCAGTGGGATGAAATGGGAGGGTGGAAGACAGTGATATTGATGATCCTGACCATGCATAGGCTAATATGCTTGTTTGTGTCTTGGTTTCAAATAAAAGCATTTAAAAAGTAAAAAAGTAGGCTGGGCATGGTGGCTCACACCTGTAATCCCAGCACCTTGGGAGGCTGAGGTGGATGATCACTTGAGGTCAGGAGTTTGAGACCAGTCTGGCCAACATGGTGAAACACCATCTCTACCAAAAAAAAAAAAAAAAAAAAAATTGCCAGGTGTGGTGCCACAAGTCTGTAATCCCAGCTACTCAACTCAGGAGGCTGAGGGAGAAGAATCATTTGAACCCAGGAGGCAGAGGTTGCAATGAGCCGAGATCACACCACTGCACTCCCACCTGGGTCACAGAGACTCTGTTTCAAAAAGAAAAAAAAAAAGTAAAAAATAAAGTAAAATGAATTTAGAATAGAAAAAAAGCTTATAGAATAAGGATAGAGAGAAAATAGTTTTGTACAGCTGTAGAATGTTTGTGTATTATAAAAGAGGCAAAAAGTTAACAATATTGAAAAGTTTATAAAGTAAAAAAGTTAAAGTAAGCTAAGGTAAATTTATTATTAAACTTTTTAAAAATAAATTTAGTGTAATATAAGTGTACAGTGTTTTTAAAGTCTACAGTAGTGTACAGTAATATCCTAGGCCTTCACATTCATTCAGTACTCATTCATTGACTCACCCAGAGCAACCTCCAGTGTTCATGGTAAGGGCCCTATGCAGGTGTACCATTTTTTATCTTTTATACCATGTTTTTGCTGTACCTTTTCTTCTTTCTTTGTTTTTTTTTGTTTTTTTCTGAGACAGGGTCTCGCTCTGTCACCCAGGCTGGAGTGCTGCAACCTCCCCCTCCTGGGTTCAAGTGATTCTCCTGCCTCAGCCTTGCAAGCAGATGGGATTACAGGCGTGCACCACCACACCCAGCAAATTTTTGTATTTTTCGTAGAGATAGGGTTTCGCCATATTAGACAGGCTGGTCTCAAACTCCTGATGTCAGGTGATCTGCCCGCCTTAGCCTCCCAAAGTGCTGGGATTACAGATGTGAGCCACCGCGCCTGCCCCCACAACCCCCCAATTTTTTTTTTTTTTTTTTTTTTTGAGGCAGAGTCTCCCTCTGTTGCCCAGGCTGGAGTGCAGTGGCATGATCTTGGCTCATGGCTCGCTGCAACCTCTGCCTTCTGGGTTCAACCGATTCTTCTGCCTCAGCCTCCTGAGTAGCTGGGATTACACATGCACACCACCACACCCAGCTAATTTTTGTATTTTTAGTAGAGACTGGGTTTCACCATATTGGCCAGGCAGGTCTCGAACTTCTGACCTCGTGATCCGCCCGCCTCGGCCTCCCAAAGTGCTGGGATTACAGGAATGAGCCACCGCGCCCGGCCTTGCTGTACCTTTTCTATGTTTAGATATGTTTACATACACAAATACTTACCATTGTGTTACAGTTGCCCACAGTATTCGGCACAGTCACATGCTGTACTGCTTTATAGCCTAGGGGCGATAGGCTATACCATATAGCCTAGGTGTTTAGTAAGCTAGTCCCTCTAGGTTTGTGGAAGTACACTCTACGGTGTTCACACAACAACAAAATCACCTAAGGTCAGATTTCTTAGAATGTATCCCTGTCGTTAAGTGACACATGACTGTATAAGCAACAGTGACAAATGTCATCTAGAGTACTGTCTTAGACCATTTCGGTTGCTATAATTGAATATCATCAGCTGGGTAATTTATAACGAATAAAAGTCGATTTAGCTCATTGTTCTGGAGGCTGGAAAGTTCAAGAGCATGGTGCTGGGGTCATGTAAGGACCTTACTGCTGTGTCATGACATGGCAGGAGGAATCACATAGAGACACAGAGCAAGTACAAGAGAGCCATGGAAAGCTTGTTTTCATAAGAAAGCCATTTCTGCTGGGTGTGGTGGCTTACACCTGTAATCCCAGTGATTTGGGAGGTCAAGGTAGGTGTATCACGTGAGGTCAGGAGTTCAAGACCAGCCTGGCCAACATGGTGACACCCCATCTCTAGTAAAAATACAAAAATTAACCAGGCGTGGTGGTGCGTGTCTGTAGTCCCAGCTACTTGAGAGGCTGAGGCAGGAGAATTGCTTGAACCCAGGAGGCGGAGCTTGCAGCGAGCCAAGATCTCACCATTGCACTCCAGCCTGGGCAGCAGACCGAGACTCTGTCTCAAAAAAAAAGAAGAAGAAGAAGAAGAAGAAGAAGAAGAAAGAAAAAGAAAGCCATTTCTGTGATAATAAACCCATCCCTGTGATAGGGACATTAATTCATTTATGAGGGCAGAGCCCTCATTAATCCATCAATCTGTTCATGAGAACAGTTTCCAATACTTGAACTTTTGGAGGATGCATTCAAGTACTGATTGTCATGACTTCTAGCAGAGTCTTGCTGAGGAATCTGGGGCTGAGGCTAGGTTCAGAGGGAAAGGATGTTACAACTGACAAGCATTTTCTGTCGTGTTGGAAGAAGAGGTTGTAGTGCAGGTGCGCAGGTATTTGCCTTCTCCTCTAGGCTCTGACTGCGATAGAAAATTTCAAGTTTATTTCTTCAAAGGAATGTAGCAATGTTGCTTTCAGACTGCAGAATTAGGCTAGCTCCACTGAGAGGCCTTTTCAGGTCCACTCTGCTAATAATTTAGGCCAGAGATGAGCAATTTTGAATTTCTAATCTCTTTATACCTTTCAGAAGGCTCTACCAGGTTCCTCTGCAACTGCATGTTTGTTTTTTTTTTTCCTGGCTGCCATGCAGTTAGAAGGTATTAGCTGAGAAAAATATTTTATTGCACCTTTGAAGAATCGGCAACACAAATTCTTTTCACTTTGGGCATTTATTCATAAATTTCAACAACAAATACTTACAAAGGATTGTGCAGTATGGCACTTTGTTAGGTAGGAGAGTTTAAAGTGCTAGAAACAAAAACTTCTTGCCTTTCTGGATTTGAGTTCTGCTACAATTACTTTGTTGACTGGATCTTCTAAGTGCTCTTGACTCTTACCGAGTCCATCTGTTACTGTAGGAGGCAGTGACTACAATAAAGTTCCTGCTTTCAGGAGGCTTTCATTTTATCAAGAATAATACATGAATGAATATATAGTGTAATTCCAGGGCTACGTACTATAGAGAAAAGCAGGACAAGATAATAGGAAGCGAAAGGCTGCTCAGGGAAGATCTCTCTGTCGGTTTTTGATGTTGTTGTTGTTGTTTTCTTTTCTTTCTTTCTTTTTTTCTTTTCTTTCTTTTTTTTTTTTTTTTTGAGATGGAGTCTCTCTCTGTCACCCTGGCTGGAGTGCAGTGGTGTGATCTTGGCTTATTGTAACCTCTGCCTCCCGGGTTCAAGCAATTCTCCTGCCTCAGCCTCTCGAGTAGCTGGGATTACAGGCGCCCGCCACTATGCCTGGCTAATTTTGTATTTTCAGTAAAGATGGGGTTTCATCATGTTGGCCAGGCTGGTCTGGAACTCCTGACCTCAGGTGAACCGCCCGCCTCGGCCTCCCAAAGCGCCAAAGCGCCGGAATTACAGGCATGAGCCACCGTGCCCAGCCTTGAAGAAAGAATATTAATTGTTATATGATTACACAATGAAATCTGAACATATTAACAGTATTGCTTGACCTTCAAGTTGAAAAGAAAAATAAAAAAGATTTTATTTTATTTTATTTTATTTTTAGACGGAGTCTCACTCTGTCCCCCAGGCTGGAGTGCAGTGGCGCGATCTCGGCTCACTGCAAGCTCCGCCTCCCGGGTTCACGCCATTCTTCTGCCTCAGCCTCCCGAGCAGCTGGGACTACAGGTGCCCACCCCCACGCCCGGCTAACTTTTTTTGTATTTTTAGTAGAGACGGGGTTTCACCGTGTTAGCCAGGATGGTCCCGATCTCCTGACCTCGTGATCCGCCCGCCTTGGCCTCCCAAGGTGCTGGGATTACAGGCGTGAGTCACTGCGCCCAGCCAAAAGATTTTCTTATAGTGATTTTTGATGGGGGATGTGAGGGGTTGTCATTAGAGTTGTTTTCAAACATTTCTGGTTCTCCCAATTCTGGGAAAATGGTAATATTGAACATCCTGATCCCTTCTGGTTGGGAAGCCATTCATGGAGGTCTGGCCAGTGATTTGAGAGTGGAAATGACATCTGTCACTTCGGGACCAAATCTTTAATTGCATTGTAAGATCTTCCAGAACTCTCTTGTTTTCTCTGGAATCATGACCGACATTTGGGATAATGTTCCTCAACCAGCTTGCATCTCTGAATCACAACAAGGAGTAAATTATTCCCCACCCTCACCGTGCCGTCCGTGTAGCAGGAGTAGAAAATAAATCTTGATAGTTTTTTGCCACTTAATATTTAAGGTTGTTTGTTACACAGTCTAACCTAGCCCCTGATGCAGGCAACAAAGTTCTCTATGAGTGGAATTATCCTTCAAATGCCATTGCTAATAAATCAGCATGTTTGCACTCAAATTTAATAATAGGCCTTTATCACTCACCCAAAGATATTTAAACAGGGTAACACCAGGTGGAATTTAAAAAAACCCCAGCAAGTCATATAAGAGGTTAACTAGGAAAGTGTACATACAAAACACTAGATAGCTGAAGAAAGTCCATGCTTTTTCCTTTTTCGATGACTGCACATCTTGGTTTTGTTTTTTGTTTTTTGGTTTTTTTTTGAGATGGATCTCACTCTGTTGCCGAAGCTGGTGGTGCAATCTTGGCTCACTGCAGCCTCCACCTCCCGGATTCAAGCAATTCTCCTGCCTCAGCCTCCTGAGTAACTGGGATTACAGGCACACACAACCACACCTGGCTAATTTTTGTATTTTTAGTAGAGATGGGGTTTCACCCTGTTGGCCAGGCTGGTCTCAAACTCCTGTGATCGACCTCAGGTTATCCACCCACCTCGACCTCCCAAAGTGCTGGTATTACAGGCATGAGCCACTGTGCCCGGCCAATGACTGCACACCTTGGATATACTACAGGTTTCACACATTATTCTTCAATCTTTCTGTCATATATGGCCATGTTCAACATCATGAACTAAGAAGAAATCCAAACCTAAGGTACTAAAATTAATCTAGTTGTCAGCACTAAAGTGACCCTCACTGGACTAAATATGAGGAAAAAAAAATAACCTTCAAAGAAATAAAAGAGTTGAAATAGAATCTAACAGAGGCCAAAATGAGGTAGCCTGGAAGGACGTCTGTAGTAAGCAGCCTTTAAGATAGCCCCATGATTCCTGCCTCCTAGTATTCATGCCCTTGTATAGTCCCCTCCCCTTGAATGTGGGCCAGACCTAGTGATTGACCTCTAATGAATAGAATATGACAAATGGCACATATAGCTGTCAGTTCTGAGATTAGGTTACAGAAGACTGTGGCTTCCTTCTTTGGCTGTTCTGTCTTGTTCTTTTGCACACTTTCTCCGAAGGAAGCCAGCTGGCATGTTGTGAGCAGCTCTATGGAGGGGCATTTGTGCAAGAAACTGAGAATAGCATCTGACCCACAGCCAGTGAGGAGCCACAGTCCTCAGTCCAACAACCTGTGAGGAAAGGAATTCTGCCAATAACTATATGAATGAGCTTGGAAGTGAATCTTCCCCCAGTTGAGCTTTCAGATGAGTCCTCACCTCAGGCAACCTCAGTGTACCTGCAGCCTCACGAAAGACCTTGAGCCAGAGGTATACAGCTGAACCACATCCAAATTCCTGACCCATAGAAACTGTGAGATATTATAATAAACGCATGCTCTTTCAAGCTGCTAAATTTTGAGATAATTTATATAGAAATAAATAATACAGTATCTTAAGTATATCCTGGAGCACAATGCCAAAGAATATAAATGCAAAGCTCTGAGTTTCTGCGAGTATATTTTAAAAGCATCTGGGCTAAATCCAATTATCATAAATTATATAGTTCTTTTAGCTAAACATCAAGACCATGCTTCAGGCTGGGAGCAGTGGCTCACACCTGTAATCCCAGCAGTTTGGGAGGCTGAGGTGGGCAGATCACCTGAAGTCAGGAGTTTGAAACTAGCCTGGCCAACATGGCGAAACCTCGTCTCTACTAAAAATACAAAAATTAGCTGGGCATGGTGGCAGGCACCTATAATCCCAGTTATTTGGGAGACTGAGTCAGGAGAATCGCTTGAACCTGGGAGGCAGAGGTTGCAGTGAGCCAAGATCGTGCCACTGCACTCCAGCCTGGTGATAGAGTGAAACTCAGTCGCAAAACAAAAACAAAAACAAAAAAAACCCAAAAACAAACCCATGTGTCAAAAAGCAGAATGGCTTTATAATGCCAAAATACATCATGGAAGAAACTGTAAATACACACCTATATCTGTGCTTTCCTCTACATTTGTCATTGTCCTAACAGTTACATTCACCTTGTGACTAGTACTGTTCAGTGGACTGTAAGTGGGAGTCAATTGTTTTACTTCCAGGTTGTTTTCTTCCCCCTATATTCTGGCTAAACTTTAAACCAGAAGATGATGGGACCTCCAGGTGGAAGAGGTATGTAGCAAGAGAGAGGAAAAAAACAAACAAACTTGTGTTCTATTAAGCACCAAGCTTTCAGGTTTTATTTGCTACCACAGTGTAGTTCATCTTATCCTGGTTACTAGATCCACTGACAGTCATAATGCAAAAGGCATTAGAATAACAGTTTTTAAGTATTCTGACTGCTGTCTCCATATAGAGACAATATAATTAGCCCAATTTCAGGTCAAATTCTTTGTGTGTTTTCATTTTACCCCCACCACCCCGCCCCAGTGAGGAGATTTCTCTTCCTTTGCAGTGGTCCAGTTACAGTCTAGAGGGGCCTACTTGCAGTCTGTGCCCATGGAAATCAGTGCTACTTACAGATCCCCTTCACCTGCCATCTAACCCTGATGGCCAGTTTACTTAGTTTGAAACTTAGATTTGTTATGGTTTGGCTCTGTGTCCCCACCCAAATCTCATGTTGAGTTGTGATCCTCAGTGTTGGAGGAGGGGCTTGGTGGGAGGTGATTAGATCATGGGGACAGTTTCCAATAGTATAGCACCATCCTCCTAATGCTGCTTGTATACAAGTATATAGCACCCCCTCCCCCACCCCTCCTCCTGGTCACGTGAAGACCTGCTTGCTTTCCCTTAACCTTCCACCATGATTGTAAGTTTCCTGAGGCCTCCCTAGCCATGCCTCCTCTACAGCCTGTGGAACTGTGAGTCAATTAAGCCTCTTTTCTTCACAGATTACCCAGTCTCAGGTAGTTTTTTATAACAGTATGAGAACAGACTAATACAGGATTTTTAGTCGATTTTTTGTGCCTTTTGGTTTTTCATTTAGATACATTTTTTTTTTATTCCTTCAACTCCTTAGAAAATGACAAATTGCAAGAGTGTGTGCTTTAATAAAGAACAACTTACTTCTTAGTCTTGATGATTGATGTGGAAACAGCCCAGTTCATAAGACGGGACTTCTGGTTTCACATTTGTCTTTTAAGTCACATCTATACCTGGGAATCTACACATGGAATATTCAATGGAACAGGCTGGGAAAATCCCCATGCTGTCACATTTCTAAGGCAACAGTCTCCTGGTTCCAATTCACATCCCTCCTTTAAAAGTACATCAAAATGCCTGGATTTATTCATTCTTACATTAATCAATGAATTCAACATTTATTAAGAACTTAAAAATGTGCCAGGCCTCATGTTAGGTGTTAGGACACAAACGTGAAGAAGACCTCGTCTCAGTCTTCATAGAATATCTATGCCAGGGAGAAGGCCAGTGCGGAAAATCATAACAAGCGTGAAGAGCATTATGAAGGCAGTGTGGGGCAGTAATGAGAGTTTAAGGGTGCAAGAGAAGGAAATCTGAGTGGGGGACATTGTGTCGAAGATGATGTGGTGAGGGAGTGATGTTCAAGTTGAAAGTGAAGGATAAGTGGGAGTTAGATTGCGGGGGACGGGCATGGAGAATGTTCACAACTGAGTGAACTGCAAATGTGAAGCCTCTGAGGTGAGGAAAAGCTGAATGAGTTAGAGGATCTAAAGTAAGACCTGGATGGCTGGAGGCAAGTGATCTTCCAGGGCCTAAGTTTGACAACAGCACCTCATCATGGTCAGAGAAGCTTTGTAGAAAAGACACTCCCTGGCTAGAGATTCCCAAATCCAACAGGAAAAAGAAAAGAACTTTTTTCTTTCTGATTTTGACTGCTCTCTTTAAGATTGTCCATGTTCTGTGAAATGAATTTGATCAAATGCATTACTTAATTTTTTTTCAAGTATTACTTATGGCTGAACATACTGTATTTGTTTCAAGCTCTCCATTCCTGGCCATTCTGTTTATTTAGGATCATCTGTAACATATTCACATGTGAGGAAAGTTGAGAGCTTAAGCGCTCAAAGTTTAAACAGTTGTGTAACAGATTCTGTGGCAGAGATAATGTTTAATTTTCAGTGTGGATGTTAATCAAAGGAGTCACTCAAAATTCTTGCAAAAAGTATCATAAAGCCACGTGTGTGTCTGCCCTTTGATCTTGGAAACTTTCATTCTGAAACTTGAGTCAAAACACAGTCTTTTACTAATTTCATCCCAGACAAATGTGAGAGCCACTAAAATGTTCTATTATTCTGTCTGCACTATGTAACTCTGTTTGCCAGTAGCTTGGAAATCAATCAATTGGAACATTTTAGAAATAATCTCTTTGCAAAAGCAAACCATAGAATACACTAGAGTGTATTCTTTGATGACAATCAGTGGCTGGCAAAGCAATGTGGCCTGCAAAAGGGAGGCTTCCAGGTGCCATCAGCCACGTCCTAGGTGCCAAGAGAGAACTGTGGAATGACACTTCTTTCTTTGTGCTCAGCTACATGGCGTGGCAAGACACCCTGTGCTGGCAGCTCATTTATCAGGAAGTAGCACCATTCACATCAGTAATGTTTGCAATTAGAGCCTATTAAGCCTGATTGAAAATGAAGCATCAGAGGTGTTATGCAATTTGAGAAAGGGGAAACAACATCTGGAGCCCTGTCATCGTGGTGGGAGAGAGTAATGAAAACCCGGGGCAGAGAAAATGCAAGCTTTTTTAAACAAGAAGGAAGTTGTGGGACAATTTCTTTAGAGAGTAAATTTCATATAACTAGGGATATTTAACAATATTAGTCATGTGGTTTGGATTTGTGTCCCCATCAAATCTCAGGATCCACTGTAATTCCCAATGTTGGTGGTAGGGCCCGGTGGAAGGTAATTGGGTCATGGGAGTGGATCCTTCATGAATGGTTTGGCACCATCCCTTTGGTGCTGTTCTCACAAGATCTGGTTGTTTAAAAGTTTGTGGCACGTCCTCTCTCACTCTCTTCCTCCTGCTCCTGCCATGTAAGATGAGCCTGCTTCCCCTTCGCCTTCTGCCATGATTGTAAGTTTCCTGAGGCCTCCCCAGGCAGCAGGCATGCTTCCTGTACAGCCTGCAGAACCATAAGCCAATCAAACCTCTTGTCTTTAGAAATTACCCAGTCTCAGGTATTTCTTTATAGCAGTGCAAGAATGGATTAATACAATTGGTTATAAATATAGAATGTCACAGATAGTGTGCCAAATGTTTACATGTGTCAACTCCCTGAACACTCATCACAGCCCTGTGAGATGGAGTTACTGTCATTCTCATTTTACAGTTGGAGCTTTATTAGTATGAATTGAAAAAATGAATGAGCCCACCAATGCAATGTCCAAGATAGCAAAACTGAGGCTAGAGCTACTGACAAGAAGTGACCTTGGACTTAAGCCTCAGGCTTTTGATTCTCCACCTACTTCTTTTTATGCTATCTCACATTTCAATTTCACCAACGGAAACACCAGGACTAAAGGCTTTTGGGGTTTCATGAAAAATAAGGAGCAGGATTGGCTTAATATAAGAGAGTGAGATGCTCTTCTATGTGATTAATCATGAAGGATGAAATGCTTGGATCTCCCCAGATATTTTCTGTTATATGCCAACTGAGGCTGAAATTCCAGGGCCTTAACATTAGACTCTAATCCTATCAATGTATTTTTTTCCTGTCATTAAAATGCATGAAGCGTACATCTTTAAGTCATAAATCAGTTTTGGTATTTGTAATTTGTAATATGAATGACAGGCATGGGATCTGGTTTTCCCAAGAAATACTGTGAGACCACCTAATGGAATAGGCTATTTGCAAGAAAGAGAATGAGCCCACAATGGGAACAGTTATTTAGACTACATTGTGAATGGTGTTCCCAGAAAATTCTCAACACAGTGGTGGGCAGGGAGTCCAGGAAAAGTGTGTGTGTGTGTGTATGTGTGTGTGTGTATTTAATTAAAGAGGAACCGAAGACATACTTCCCTTGCGTGTCAAACACTTCTTGTACTAGTTTCCAAGGCACTTCCATGATCAACTTTAAGAGTTTGCCCTCTGATTACAATGGGCTGAGTTTATGAAGGTTTCAGAAACCTGAATTGATCCACACATTTCCTAAAGTCAAGTAGACTTAACAACTCTTCTATGTTGGGGCCGCAGAGAATGTACATGGCATCAATACTTGGTGTTACTCCATTCTGGTTAAAAATTGAAAAGGGATAAACTATTAGCCTCAGTAGTTTATAAATATTTTATTGAGCTTTGATTGAAATGGGAAAATTTGAAAAATTTATCTAGAAGTGAAGTTATAAAAAAATTAGTCCTTTTACAAATTGTTCCTGTAGGCAGCTTGTTTTGAATTATTCCTAAACAGAAAAAAATAAGGGCCACTTTAAGGCCAGATGATAGAAAATGAAAACTACATGTAGTTTTTCTAGCAAGTGTTCCTCAAGGGGCCCTGACCACGGAGTACATGCTTTTGATTAAATTCACTGAGTTTTCTGCATTGTGACTGTGATGCTTGGGTTGGCTGCTAAATGTGTTGCTTTCATGGAGATTTTGCATTAAAAATCACAGGAAGGTGCTTTCTGAGGAAGTTACATGAATATTTTATAACATTATGTGAATGTTAACCATTTCGGGTAATGATGTTAACTTCAAGGTATTTGTACCCAGTGTACTCTTTGGGTATCCAAAGATTACCAGGATGGAAAACATATTTTATATACTTCCTGAAGTTTCCTTGTCTCTGTGTGAAATGCTCCTTATCTAAACTGTATTTTACTGACAAGCATAGATGTTAGAGTCAGATTGCCTGTGTATGAATTCTGGCTCCACCATTCCTTAGCTCCACCACCTTGGGCAAATTATTTAACCCTTCTGTGTCTTGGTTTGCTTCTCTGTTAAAATGAGAATGATAACAATACCTACCTTATGGAACTGTTGTACAAATTAAATGAGATAATATATGTAAAGGGCTTGGAATTGTGTGGCACATAAGTTCTTAATAAATATTTTAAAATTATAACTGTTCTTTCTAATTTGCGATTCCTAACCTTTCCCCTAAACCTTCACTCCATCATTCTTGCATCAAACATTTCTTTCTTTTTTATTTTATTTTATTTTTTTGAGACAGAGTCTCACTCTGCCGCCCAGGCTGGAGTGCAGTGGCACGATCTCGGCTAACTGCAACCTCGGCCTCCTGGGTTCAAGCAATTCTCCCTGCCTCAGTCTCCCAAGTAGCAAGGATTACAGGCGCCTGCCACCATGCCCGGCAAAAACATTTCTTGACAGCTTATGACATTTGCTAATAGCTCTTAAATTTTCTTCCAACAGTGAGTTTATGACTCCAGGATTGTAATAGATGTGCTGGAGGTGATGGGTACGAAATGAATACGATGTGGTCTCCTCCCTTAGATTCCAGCCCTGCAAAGCAGATATGACTGTCTCAGCTAATTGTAGCGCCACGCAGAATGCAGTAAGTGCGCTTACCTGTGTATAAAATGAATTGGTAATACAAGAAGAGGGAGGAGAGCTACATTTCAATTTGGAGAATGAAATAAGATCTGGGAAAGCTTTTCAGCTACAGTGGCCTTTGCATTTGATCTTGCATGAGGACATTTTAAGACGAGGGAATATGTGAGCAAACAGCACTGAGGCCAGAAAGCCGAGAATGAGCCTGGAGAATCTGAGTGATTCTGACAAGCTGGAACCTAGAGAATCATGCCTGGAAATGCAGCCTAGGAATCAGTGACGGAAGGATGAGCATAACATCCTAAGGACGTTGGTATTTATTTTACTGGTAATGGGAAGCCACCAGAAAAGAAGAACAACGAGGGGCAAAGCCAGTCTTTTTCTTTCTTTCTTCCCATTCTGTTCACTTTTTTTTTTTTTTTTTAACAAGGTCTCGCTCTCTCGCCCAGGCTGGACTGTAGTGGTGTGATCATAGCTCACTGTAGCCTCGAAATCCCGGGATGAAGTGCTCCTTCAGCCTATAGGCACGTGCCACCATGCCCAGCTGATTAAATTTTTTTTTTTTTTTTTTTTTTTTTTTGTGGTAATGGAGGTCTCACTGTGTTGCCCGGGCTGGTCTCAAACTCCTGAGCTGAAGCAATTCTCCCGTCTTGGCCTCTCAAAGGGCTGGGATTACAGGTGTGAGTCACCGTGTCCCACCCATGTCTTTTTCTTTACCGCTGATGAAAGGGTTGCTTTCATTAAGAGCACTTGATCAACCCACCCTAACCTTACCCTTTGCCTTAACACTAGATTTTCCAGATCCCTAGGGAGGGAGTTCTGAGTATCCTTGGTTAAGGTTATCTACTCTTTGCTGTGATCTCTTAACTTACATTTACATTTTCTAAATGACAAATTCAAAGAGAACATTATTTGCAATGCAATGTATCTTCTAATGACTTGAGCTTCTTGCGTGATTAGTTTGGAATAAATACCTTATAGATCAAGTTTGCTTTGAGTCAAATGTTGATAATGTAAACTAATTGGTAAATGCTTTCTTATATTAGCATAAAATTGGAGTCCTTTTGAAATAGAGTTCCTTTTTGAGTACTTGCATTACAAATCTATATAAAGCTCAAGTTTAAGGTAATGGTATATGAAGCAAAATTGCATTCTGGATCCATGAAAAACAATGTAATTTTCTGTTGAGATTATCATGCTGCCATGTAGTTTAAAATTCTGGCTAGTATTATAATTTAGCATAAGAAATATAAAATTTCAAGGTGCTTATTGTGAGTAGGATTCTAATGCCCCCAAATTGAGCTAGTTTCTTTCATTGTTTCCTCATTCCTTCCTTCCTCTTTCTCTTTCTTTCTTTCTTTTCTCTTTTTCTTCTTTCTTTCCTTCTTTCTTTCTTTCTTTCTTTCTTTCTTTCTTTCTTTCTTTCTTTCTTTCTTTCTTTCTTTCTCTTTCTTTCTCTTTCCCTCCCTTCCTTCCTTTCTCTCCCCCTCCCTCCCTCTCTTTCTTTCTTTCTCTCTCTCTTTCCTTCCTTCTTTCTCTTTCTTTCTCTCTCTCTCTCTCTCTCTTTCTTTCTTTCTTTTTTTCTCTCCTTCCTTCCTTCCTCTCTCTCTCTTTCTTTCCCTTTCTTTCCTTTCTTGCTTCTTTCTTTTTTTGTGTGATGGGGTCTCACTCTGTTGCCCAGGTTAGAGTGTAGTGCCACAGTCATAGTTCACTGCTGTCTTGAACTCCTGGGCTTCAGTGATCTTCCTGGCTCAGCTTCCCAAGTAGCTGAGGCTACAGGCACATATCACCATGCCCAGCTACTTTTATTTATTTTTTGTAGAAACAGAGTCTCAGTAAGTTGCCCAAGCTGGAGTGCAGTGGCATGATCATGCTTCACTGCAATCTTGACCTCCCTGGGCTCAGGTGATCCTTCCACCTCAGCCTCCAGAGTAGCTGGGACTACAAGTGTGCGCTACCACACTTGGCTAATTTTTAAAATTATTATTTTTTTTTTTGTATAGACAGGGTTTCACCATGTTGCCCAGCCTGGTCTTGAACTCCTAGGCTCAAGTGGTCCACCCTGTAGTGCTGAGATTACAGGCATGAGCCACTGCACCCAGCCAAGAGTTAATTTTTTAAGGACAGTTCTGTCTTTTGTTTTCCCAGAAAGCAAGAACCACCCATGTGTTTCTACCTTCTCGGCAAGTTACTGATCCTCACTGAATAAAAGCAGCTACCTCACAGAAATTAAGTGTAATTATGTACACAAAGCTTTTTGAATATGTGTGACACATAGCAAATTTTGTGTCTCAGTAAACGTATATTTTAAAAAGAATTAAGCTTCTTTATTTTCTTGTAAATTTTCTTCACTCATTACTCTGGATTTTTTTATTTATTTTTTTTATTTTTTATTTTTTTTTTTGCTGTTGTTGTTTTTGCTCTTGTTGCCCAGGCTGGAGTGCAATGGCTTGATCTCAGCTCACTGCAATCTCTGCCTCCCAGTTTCAAGTGATTCTCCTGCCTCAGACTCCCAAGTAGCTGGGATTACATGCATGTGCCACCACGCCCAGCTAATGTTTGTACTTCTAGTAGAGACGAGGTTTCAGCATGTTGGCCAGGCTAGTCTCAAACTCCTGACCTCAGGTCATTTGCCTGCCTGAGCCTCCCAAGGTGCTGGGATTACAGGCATGAGCCACTGTGCCTGGCCTACCCTGGGTGGGCCAATTTTAAAAAAATATACTTTATTTTTAAAAGCAGTTTCAGGCTCACAGCAAGCTTAAGCAGAAAGCATAGAGTTCCCTAAATCCTCCCTCCCTCACGTATGCACAGCCTCTCTCACCATCACATCCTTCATCGGTGTGATCACATTTCTTATAATCAATGAACCTGCATGGACACATCATTATCACCCAAAGTCCATAGTTGACATGGAAGTTCGCCCTTGGTGCCGTACATTCTATGGGTTTTAACAAGAATATTCACCATTACAGTATTATACAAAAGAGGCTGGGTGCAGTGGCTCATGCCTGTAATCCCAGCACTTTGGGAGGCTGAGGCGGGCAGATCACAAGCTCAGGAGATCAAGACAAGGCTGACCAACATGGTGAAACTCCATCTCTACTAAAAATACAAAAATTAGCTGGGCATGGTGGTGTGCACCTGTAATCCCAGCTACTTGGGAGGCTGAGGCAGGAGAATTGCTTGAACCCAGGAGGCGGAGGTTGCAGTGAGCCGACGCCACTGCACTCCAGCCTAGGCAACAGAGCAAGACTGTCTCAAAAAAAAAAGCTTCATTGCCACACAAATCCTCTATGCTTCACCTATTCATCCTTCCTCCCTCTAATTCCTAGCACCCACTGATCTCTTTATGATTTTGCCTTCTTCAAAATGCCATATAGTTGGAATCATACACTATGCAGCCTCTTCAGATTGGCTTCTTTCACTTAGTAATATGCACTTAAAGTTCCTCCATGTCTTCATATAGCTTGGCAGCTCATTTCTTTTTAGCACTGAATAATATATTACATTGTCTGGATGTACAATAGTTTATCCCTTCATTTATTGAAGGACATCTTGGATGCTTCTAAATTTTGGCAATTATGAATTAAGCTGCTACATGTTTATGGTGTTTATTTATTTTTTTGAGGTGGAGTTTCGCTCTTGTTGCTGAGGCTGGAGTGCAGTGGCGCAATCTCAGCTCACTGCAACCTCCACATCCCAAATTCAGGTGATTCTCCTGCCTCAGCCTCCCAAGTAGCTGGGATTACAGAGATGCCTCCCAAGTAGCTGGGATTACAGAGATGCCTCCCAAGTAGCTGGGATTACAGAGATGCCTCCCAAATAGCTGAGATTACAGCCATGCATCACCACTCCCAGCTAATTTTGTATATATGTATTTTTTTTAGTAGAGACGAGGTTTCACCATGTTGCTCAGGCTGGTCTCAAACTCCTGACCTCAAGTGATCCAACCGCCTCAGTCTTCCAAAGTGTTGGGATTACAGGTGTGAGCCACTGTGCCTGGCCTATTTATGGTGTTTATGGACAAACACACAGGTGCAGGTTTTTAGGTGGACATCAATTTTCAATTCATTGGGATAAACACCAAGGAACTTGATTGCTGGATTGTATGGTGAAGATATGTTTAATTTTATACAATACTGCTAAATTGTTTTTCCAATACACTATTTGGATTTCCACTGGTAATGAATGAAAATTCCTGCTGACCCACATCCTCGCCAGCATTTGGTGTTGTCAATGTTCTGGATTTTGGCCATGCTAATAGGTATATAGCTGTATGTCATTGTTGTTTTAATTTGTATTTCCCTGATGGCATGTGATGCCGAGCATCTTTTTATAACCTTATTTACCATATGTACATTTTCTTCAATGAGGTACCTATTCAGGTGTTTTGCTCATTTTAAATTGGGTTGTTTTCTTATTTTCTTATTATTGAGTTTTAAGAATTCCTTTGGATATCTGTCCTTTATCATATATATCTCTTGCAAATATTTTCTCTTAGTCTGTGACTTGTCTTCTTATTTTGTTGATCCAGGTCAATCTTTTAATTTAATTTTTTTTTTTTTTGAGATGGAGTCTTGCCCTGTTGTCCAGGCTGGAGTGCAGTGGTGTGATTTTAGCTCACTGCACCCTCTGCCTCCCAGGTTCAAGCTATTCTCTTTCCTCAGCCTCCTAAGTAGCTGGGATTACAGGTGTGCACCACCATGCCTGGCTAATTTTTATATTTTTAGTAGAGATGGATTTTGCCATATTGGCTAGGCTCGTCTCAAGCTCCTGACGTCAAGTGATCTGCTGCTTCAGCCTCCCAGAGTGCTAGAATTACAGGCATGAGCCACCGTACCTTGCCCTAAAATATTTTTAAGTTAGAAAATACCACTGCCTGGTGCAGCAGCTCATGCCTGTAATCGCAACACTTTGGGAGGATAAGGGAGACGGGTCACTTGAACCCAAATGTTCAAGGCCAGCCTGGGCAACATAGTGAGACCTTGCTTGTCTCTACAAAAAATAAAAATAATAACAATGAAAAAGAAAATACCACAGAGTGACAAGAAACAGCGCTTGAACAGCCAGAAAAGGTTGTGTGTGTATGTCTGTGTGTGTGTGTGTGTGTGTGTGTACGTGCCTACTGTAAAATACTGAGGTAGTAGCTTGTTTTTCTAGTCATTTAATAAAACTTTTTATTTCAAAATAATTTTAAACATTCAGAAGAATTGCAAAGTTAGTACCGGGAATTCCAGTTTATCCTTTACGCAGTTTCCCTTAATGTTGACATCTTACGTAACAATGACACAATGATCACAATAAAGAAATTAACATTAGAGCAACAGTATTAACTAACCTACAGGCCTTACTAGGATTTGACCAGCTTTTCTTCTAACGTCCTTGTTCTGTTCCAGAACTGAATCCAGGATACCATGCTGCATTTTAGTTGTCGTGTCTCCTTAGCGCCCTTTGATCTTTTATGCTTTCTCTATGTCTTTGTTTTTCATGACTTCGACACGTTTAAGGAGGACCAATCAGGTATTTTGTAGACCCAACGTGTATTTGTCTGATACTTCATGATACAGGCTTTTAGGAAGAATACTGAAGATGTAATGTGTACTTGACTCATACCAATGATGTTTACCTTGATTACTTGGTTAAGGTGGTGTCTGCCACATTTTTCTCCTGTAAAGTTACTATTTTTCCCATTCCTATGCAAATATTGTATGTCTCCTTAAAGTTTTGGCCACTAATTTTAGCATTCATCAATGAAGTTTGCCTGCAGCGATAATTACTGTGGAATTCTAGTGCTGCTTTTCTATTCCTCTCATTCTTCCACATTTATTATTTAGAATTCTTCTGTAAAAAAGATTTGTCCCTTCTCTCCCGCTTGTTTATGTATTCAATCACCTACTTATAGGTGTTTAATTTATTCTTTGGGTTATAACCCACTACTCCTGTTGTCTGTTTTATTGCCCTAATTGTTCTAGCTTTGGACATCAGGAGCTTTTTTAGGTTGGTTCCTCTATCCCTTTCACATGTCTCCCTCCCATGCCCCCCTGCTTTTTTTTTAACTTATCTGGAGCAGTTCCTCACTTTCTGGCACCCAAAGATGCTCATCTTATATTTTTCCTGCCCTAGAATTAGAATCAGCAAAAAAAAAAAAATCCATGTATATGTGTATATATATGGACTCACATACACACAAATATAGCGATGTTTATATGCATATCTATCAACTGTGGTTCCCCCATCATCTGCAGGGGACACGTTCCAAGGCTCCCAGTGGATACCTGAAACCACAGATGGTACCAAACCCTATATATATATATACACACACTGTATATATATATACACACACTGTATATATATATACACACACTGTATATATATATACACACACTGTATATATATACACACACTGTATATATATATACACACACTGTATATATATACACACTGTATATATATATACACACACTGTATATATATATACACACTGTATATATATATACACACTGTATATATATATACACACACTGTATATATATACACACACTGTATATATATATACACACACACACATATATAGTTTTTTCTATATATACATGATTATGATAAAGTTTAATTTATATATAGAGACACAATTAAATTAGAGATGAACAACAATAAGTAATCATAAAACAGGACAATGCTAACAATATATGTTAATGAAACTGATGTGCATTGCCCGTCTGGCTCGGCCTCCTTCTCTGCGGCTGCGCGGGAAACCCCACGGCTTCCCCTCTACGTGCCTGGCGGCGGCGCCACCGCGCGCCTTCCTCAGCCGCTGTTAACCCCGGGGTCTAGAGAAGCACTGAGAGGACTCCTCAGCCTGGTGAGTGGCCCGCAAAGGACAGCGCTCGCCCCAGGTGCCTTAGCCTCAGGAGTCAGGTCCCCTACCCGGGCGTGCAGGCGGGTTTGGAGGGGTGGTCGCGGAGGAAGGGGGCACAGGTATACCTGGCCCCACAGCGACCCCAGACGTTGCCCTCCTCAGGGAGGGGACCCCCGGGAAGCTCCTGCTGCGGCTGGCGGGTGTCCCATGCAGTAGGGCCCGGGGCAAGGGTATGCCACCAGTCAGGACTGCCACCTCCCACCTTCCTGCAGCCCGGGGACGCTGACCCCTGCCCGGGCAGCATGATGTGTCACGCTGGTGTTCACTTCCAACACAGAAGCCCCGAGTCTAAGCCTCCCCGCCTTGGACAGATGGAGTTACGCCCCGCAGCCCCATTTTTCTCTTCACCCTGTTTCGCGGGAATTCAGCTAAATACACAGAGCGGCCTCCTTCTCCCCGAGTCAATGAGAGAAAGCTCAAAAAAGGACCGAGCCATCCCTGTTGCTAGCTCGACTTCATCACTTTACGCGTCCTGAAACTACTATAGATGTTTGCTCTTCTCAGAAATAGCGGGGGGAACACATTTCCTTATTATGTTTTTAGGCTTTTCAGGTGTTGCCATTTATTTTAATTTAATTTTAGTTTTTGAGATGGAGTCTTACTCTGTCGCCCAGGCTGGAGTGCAGTGTCACAGATCTCTGCTCACTGCAACCTCCGCCCTCCTGGTCCAAGTGATTCTCCTACCTTAGCCTCCCAAGTAGCTGGGACTACAGGCCCGTGCCACCACGCCTGGCTAATTGTATTTTCAAGTAGAGATGGGGTTTTAGCATATGAGCCATGATGGTCTTGAACTCCTGACCTCAAGCGATCCGCCTACCTCGGCCTCCCAAAGTGCTGGGATTACAGGTGTGAGCCACTGTTCCCAGATGTTGCAATTTAAAAACCCAAAACAACAACCAACCCCCCACTCAAAGTGATGTGAATGTGGTCTCTCCCTCTCCCCCTTCCTCTCCCCCTCCCCCTCCCTCTACACACCTATTTTCCAACTTTGTTTGACCCCTTCTCCCTCCCTCTGTACACACCTGTTTTCCCCCGTGGTTGACCGCAGATAACTGAAAGTTTGGAAATAAAAATCGTGGTGGCCAAGGGGGATTACAGCACATATGTCTCCATCTGTCTCTCTAAATTACAAGCCATGAATTTATACCAGTCACCCTGTGAGAAACAAACTCACCTGTCCAAACCCAAAAAAATGGACTCAGAGACCTGAAGAACAGCGACAGTGAGACTTTTAATGACGGTCTTGCAAGATCGGGTGTCTGATGGGTAGGCACACCCAGCACAGTTACAAGCAATTTATCCCCTCAGGTCCCTCCACTGGTTCCTCATAGGCTGAGTACTATGGGGTCACAATCTTCCTGGACATTGCCTATCGGTTGTTGGGTTGGGGCTTTAGATGTTTTTAGGGTTGTCTTGCTGCATTTTGTTGTAGCCGACGGTGTATCACAATTCTAGTTAGCTCAGGGGCTGTTTAAGTATTTGACTTATGATCTAAGTAGCTGGGCAGTCTGATAAGAACAGACAAATATATATTTGATATATAAAATATATCAATTTGCTTACACATGCCCCTCTGTGATCCCAATCTCCTGACCACACTCTGTAATCACAGCTCACCATTTTGGCACCTCCTTCCTTCTCCCCTCCAAGGGCCTCAGTGCTGCTGTCCCCACAGGAAAGGGAAAGGAGAGGAGCAACTTATTTTTAAGAAGCAGGTTTCACAGATGGGAATCAAGATGGGACCACACGACTGTCTTGGAATTCAGTCTTGGGAGCTGAAAGCCACTCACTGAATCTGTCTTTTCCAGGAAGGCTTCTGAGGCAAATGTTCATTGGATCTTAAATCTGGAGTCCCAGGGTTTCTCCTGTTAGCCTGCCCCTAAGACACGCTCACTTAGCAAGGCAGGTGCTGCTTCAGAGGTGCTGCAAAGGGTTTACTTCAGACCAAAATATAATTGTCATATGATTGGTGATTCCTGAGATCACTTCATGGTGAGCAGAAGAAGAAAGCCTTTCATGCCAAGCCGACCCCGCATTGACCCCTCTTGTGATCTCACTGACTATCCCAGACCTGCTGTTGGTCATCCTGGTTAGGACCAACTCTGCTACCTGCCTGGTGTGTCTTCTCAGCTGCTCCTGGGTAGGAGGCAACAGCCTCCCTTCCTAGTAGAGTATCTGTTTGTGTGATATAAGAACACAAATAGGATTATGCCACCCTCTGCTTCAGACTTTCTTTTGGTTTTCCTTGAATTTAAAACCCAAACTTGGCTGGGCATGGTGGCTCACGCCTGTAATCCCAGCACTTTGGGAGGCCGAGGTAGGTGGATTGCTTGAGCCCAGGGGTTCGAGACCAGCCTGGGCAACATGGCGAAACCCCATGTCTACAAAACATACAAAAATTAGCCGGGTGGGGTGGCGTGCACCTGTAGTTTTGGCTACTTTGGAGGTTGAGTTGGGAGGATTGCTTGAGCCTGGGAGGTGGAGGTTGCAGTGAGCTGAGATTGCACCACTGTACTCCAGCCTGGGGGACAGAGTGAGAACTTGTCTCAAAATAACCCCTAACCACCCCCTCAGAAAAACTCCAAACTCCCTCATTTGTGCTATGAAGCTGAAAAAAATGAACCCTTTCTCACCATACCTTCCTGTCTGAATGCTTCTCACTGTCATTAAACCAATCTTGACCCGGGCTCTGAAGGCCTTTGACAATCTACAGTCACAAACGTGGCTTAGAAGTCCAAAGTTGAGTACAGGTGACATAGCCACTGAATCCTGTTCTGAAAACCAGACGTTGGTGGAGTTGGCAAGTTAGCATGTTTGTCTGAGTCAGTATCACTTGAACTAATTAAGTTTTTCTTTGCTCACTATGCTTTGCTGGGCTTTCTCAAGCTTTTTATGACTCATTGAAATACAAGCTTGTGGTTCTCTTACGTTACATAATAGATCGGCATGTCAGCAGATAACTTGTTTGCAGGGAGCTGGTGAAATGCCGGGACAAGTGACAACTGCTCAATGTCTGTAAGGAACACATCACCAAATAGAACAGGTTGGAAAATGAGTACAGATACTCGAAAGCCTTAATCTGCAATTTCTAGGTCATCATGCGGAATGGATTAATATAAAAATGGAGAGTGGGCCTATTACTGAGAAAAAAATACATCAGGATATTCCTTTTGTGCGGTATTCATTAAGCAATGACAAGGCCCATGCCTCACCATATTTTAATTTTCCTTATATATCAGAGACAGAGATTGAATTTTTAAAAATCTGGGCCTGTCAAATCTGAATGCTGAAAATTGCTAGTAAATTAGCTTAAAAAGTTTACCGTGCTGAATATGAACCGTTTGCTGTTTGGCATAGTAAGAACTGAGATTTTAGAAAGAGGATCTTTGGAAAGGAAGGTGAGAAGAAGGAGTCACTGCATTTCAAAGTAGCACCTTTTAAACTTACACGGAAGAAGAAGCTGGTGGTATTTGCTGCATGGTTGATTCTACTTTAGGTGGTCCACATTAAAAAGTATGGAACATCTTTTGTGTGCGTGAGTGATAGTGATGAAGATGGTGATTGACAGAGATAACTTTCCATGTGGGGGGATGGGTGGGACTTCTTTGGTGGGATCTGTGCGGTGCCTGGGACTTGGCCACATCACTGTGCTTCTAGAATTTTCAGTGGTGTTTGAAATTTCTCCCATTAGAATAATAATTATGACTTTGTATCATAACTTGGGGTTCCAAATGCTCTGGTTATCGGGACAGAGAAATATCTTAAACATTAATAGCCATCAAAGGTTGAGTGCAGTGGCTCATACCCCTTATCCCAGTACGTTAGGAGGCAGAGGTGGGAGGATTGCTAGAGGCTGGGAGTTTGAGACCAGCCTGGTCAACAGCAAGACTCCATCTCTGAAAAAAATCCTAAAATTACCCAGGTGTGGTGGCACGTGCTTATAGTTTCAGCTCTTGGGAGGCTGGGGCAGGAGGATCACTTGAGCCCAGGAATTTGAGGCTGCAGTGAGCTATGATTGTGCCACTGCACTCCAGCCTGGGTGACAAGAGTGAGACCTTGTCTCCAAAAAAAGAAGAAAAAAAAATTATCAGAATTCTGGATCCACAGCTACCCTGCCAGCACTGAGAAAAACCCACTAAAACAGGATGGGTTATTCTGGACAGTAAATGATTACAAAAGTGGGGATAGTTCTGCTGAAAGTGGAAGAAGAGGCAAAAAAGAAATACACAGAACATTCTAGAGGAAGAGCTCAAGCTGTGAATCTTGAACGTTCAGATATCCAGATGTGCTGAATGAAAAATAGGTCTTTGTGTCATATGAGCACAATCTTGTGTTTTTTATTTTCTTTTTTCCCTTTTATTTATTTATCTTTTACTATTAGCCATACTTGCTGTCACTTTTATTTAAAATGCACTTAATATGACTGAAGCATAGTGGTATCAGTAGAAACCATTTTTTCCTAGGCACTGATCCCAGTTCTGCATAAATACCAGGTGACTCCTAAAAAATTTCTCTCTAATTATATAATATTATAAGCAATCTACAGTTATTTAAAGCTTCAATGCTGTAGGCAAAACACAACTGAAATATTACATTATGCATGTTTTATTTCGAATGAATCAAGCAATAAAACCTTAGAAGCAGCCGTTAGCTTTAGGTAATTGTCTGCATCTAAAAATTAAATGCTCCAAAGAACTGCAAAGAATGCTTAGTGGGCAAGGTCATGCAAAAAGGGTCCCCTCTTTAGATGTGGTATTCAACAACATTTCATTAGACAGCGGTACCAACTTGAGCTTTTAATCTTTATAGTGCTATGATTTGGTAGTGATTTTTGTTGTTAGGATTTGAATTGTTAAGATGCCAACAAAAATCAATTTTCAAAAATTAGGTGAGGAATAATATGCTTTTCTTTAGAGTACTATACGTCACCTTGGTTTTCTCTCTTTCCTGTTTGTGCTCTTACCCCATTACAGTCTATTTGCATATGACAGCTATGCAATGTAAATTTTTCAAAACACAAATAGGATTATGACACCCTCTGCTTCAAATTCTCCATTTTTTTTTTTTGGAATTTAAAATCCAAATTCTGGCAGGCCACGGTGGCTCACGCCTGTAATCCCAGCACTTTGGGAGGCTGAGGCGGGCAGATCACCTGAGGTCAGGAGTTTGAGACCAGCCTGGCCAACATGCTGAAACCCCATCTCTACTAAAAATACAAAAATTGGCCAGGTGTGGTGGTGGTCGCCTACTACTATTCGGGAAGCTGAGGCGGGAGAATCACTTGAACCTGGGAGACCAGGGTTGCTGTGACCCGAGATTGGACCACTGTACTCCAGCTTGGGCAACAGACTCCGTCTCAAAAAAAAAAAAAAAAAGAAAAAAAAAATCCAAATTCCCTTACTCTTCTTCCGAAGCTAAAAAAATGAACCCTTTCTCTCTATACTTTCCCACCGGCTCAGTCTGTTCCAATTGCACAGACCATCTTTCTGTTTCTTGATGAATTGCCTGCCTCCTCCCTACATTAGAATTTTGCCTTCGCTGTTCACACTGCCTAGAAAGCTCTGTTCTCAGGTTTTTGCAGGGCTGCTTCTATCAATCAGATTCTACTCACATGTCACCTCCCCCATAAGGTCTTCTTGCTTTCCAAACCTAAGGTTACCTGGATCGTAGTCAATATCATGACATCTGGCTTTCTAAAATTATTCATTTTTAAATACCATTTTTCATTGTCTGAAATTATTTTGTTCAAGACTCTGTTTATTTTGTTTCGTTTCTCCTAACAATGTAATCTGTGTGGATAAGGGGCATTATCTGTCACCTCTTCTCCCTCCCGTGCTTCCAGATTAGTAATAGAAGTGTGGCATAGAGCAGGAGATACATAAATATTTCCTTTTTTTTTTTTTGGAGACAGAGTCTCACTCGGTTGCCCAGGCTGAAGAGCGGTGGCATGGTCTTGGCTCACTGCAACCTTGGCCTCATGGGTTCAAGCGATTCTCTTGCCTCAGCCTCCCGAGTAGCTGGATTACAGGCACCCCACCATGCCTGGCTAATGTTTGAGACAGGATCTCACTGTCATCAAAGTTGGAATGCAGTGGCATAATCAAAGCTCACTATAGCCTCAAACTTCTGAGCTCAAGTAATCCTCCTGCCTCAGCATCCTGAGTAGCTGGAATGATAGGTGTGTGCCACCATGGCCAGCTAATTTTTAATTTTTGTAGAGATGGGGTCTTGCTATGTTGCCCAGGCTGGTCTTGAACTCCTGGCCTCAAGTGATCCTCCCTTCTCAGCCTCCTAAAATGCTGGGATTACAGGCAGGAGTGAGCACACCTGGCCTTCATAAACATTTCTTAAATGAGCAAATTATTTCTTCTTGGTTGGTTAATTGACAGCCCACAAATACTGTGCACCAGTAAACTAGATGTGTTTCAACTACTTTGTACCCACAGTTTGGCTAATTAGTGTAGGGGAGGAAAAAATTTTCCTTGACCCAGGGTCCCTGGCTGGGTCTGAAAGGAAAACTAACAGATTAATAAGAGAAAAGCATACACATTTATTGACTATTAGTTATATGTGACACAAGAGCCTTCATAAAGCAATGAAGACAGGAAGGAATGGTGAAACTTGCATATTTTTATGCTAAGTTTGATGAAGAGTGGACAGTCATGGAGAATTATGATTGGACGACGGGAGTGTGATCTAATGGCAATAGACAGGAGGCTTAGCAAGGCCAGTCCGTTCAGATCCTTCTCTGTCCTTTCATCTTAAGAGATAAGGATGTTCCTTTTTTCCTCCAGATATAGGGAAGGTCTTTCTCATAAGAGGGTTTTTTTTTTTTTTTTTTTTTTGAAACGGAGTCTCACTCTGTCACCCAGGCTGGAGTGCAATGGCACCATGTCGGCTCATCGCAACCTCTGTCTCCTGGGTTCAAGCAATTCTCCCACCTTAGCCTCCCGAGTAGCAGGGATTACAGGTGCCCACCACTATGCCTGGCTAATTTTTATATTTTTAGTAGAGATAAGGTTTCACTATGTTGGCCAGGCTGGTCTCAAACTCCTGACCTCAAGTGATCCACCCGCCTCAGCCTCCCAAAGTGCTGGGATTACTGGTGTGAGCCACTGTACCTGGCTGAGGGTCTTTTTTAAAATTATTATTCCCTGACAATCGTATGAGGATCTTATGAACTGCTTCAGGGAAAGGTCAGAAAATCTTTCCTAGGTTTTATGACCTGCTTTAGGAAAAGGTTATAAAAGGTCAGAGCAAACTTTCTGCTCCTGCTGTTTTCTTCAATATGCCAAGGTGCTATATTTTAGGGTAGCCTGTCCTGAACCCCATCATTGTTATCAACGATTAGGAGATCAGGCACATCTTGACTTTCACTTAGTAAGAGTAAGCCTTTGTGTCTAAAAAAATCATACTAGTTTATTAAAAGTCTGTTTTTATTGGGTTAACTAATCAGACAATAAAAATTACAAAAGGGGGCTAAGGAGGGAATTCAACTGATTTTGTAGGGTGGACGTGTATAGAGATTAGACAAGAAAATTCTTTTTTTTTTTTTTTTTGAGACAGGGTCTGGTCACCCAGGCTGTAATGCAGTGGCATGATCTTGGCTCACTGCAACCTCTGCCTCCAGGGCTCAAGCCATCCTTCCATCTCAGCCTCCAAAGTAGCTGGGACTATAGGCACACTCCACCATGGCTGGCTAATTTTTGTATTTTTTATAGAGATGGGGTTTTGCCATGTTGCCCAAGCTGGTCGAGAACTCCTGAGCTCAAGTGATTCATCCACCTCGGCCTCCCAAAGTGCTGGGATTACAGGCATGAGCCACCATGCCTGGCCTAGATTAGCCAAGAATATGCTTGTTCTCATTGCCAAGGCCTGGAGATAGGCCTGCGGCCTGAAAGGACCTCGACAGACAGCCTCGCGGTGACCCTTTGATGCTCTCTGGATATACCAGGAAAACTGCACGATGTGAGGCACACAGTGAGAAAGCCAATCTGTGTATTTATTTATTTATTTTGAGGTGGAGTTTTGCTCTTGTTGCCCAAGCTGGAGTGCAGTGGCGTGATCTCAGGTCACTGCAACTCTGCCTCCCAGGTTCAAGTGATTCTCCTGCTTCAGCCTCCTGAGTAGCTAGGATTACAGGTGCACCACCACACCTGGCTAATTTTTGTATTTTTAGTAGAGATGAGGTTTCTCCATGTTGTCCAGGCTGGTCTCGAACTCCTGAGCTCAGGTGATCCACCTGCCTTGACCTCCCAAAGTGCTGGGATTATAGGTGTGAGCCACTGTGCCTGGCCCATTCTGTGTATGTAACTAGTGGTAGATACTCAGTAAGGGCAAGTTTTCCACGAAAGAAAAAGTGGAGGATGCAGCAGTTGATAGCATGTTAGAGAATGAGTCTCCCTGTGTGTGTGGCCTTCCTGGTAAGGGGAAATTAGGTTCTGAGAAGGAAGTTAAGATTGTGTGTGAAAGGAGGAAGGTGCTATCTCAAGCTTTGTCCTTAATGATCATTAAGGAGGAGAAATGGAGTGTAGTGTAAGGAGACTGATAGCAGGGAAATGAAACTCCAGCCATTTGAAACCAGTCAATAGAGTCAAATGTTTTCTGTCTGCTGTTCACCTTCTTGAGCCACTGTGCAGATGCAGGCAGCAAAGAAATGACAAACAATTACCTCCCTGGGCAGGTGAACCTATTTCAAAACCCATGGGCAGGAGTTTTAACCTGGATTCCATGAGTAAACTCCAGGAATTTGTGAAATCCTGAAACCCACATATCATACATGTTTACGATGATCCCTTAGGTGTATTTATTTCTGAGAAAATTAGTCATAACTTTTTATTGGATTTTCAAAGGGGTCTGTGAGTTTTAAAAGGGAAGATACTATCACACATGTTTATGGTGATCCCTTATATGTATTTATTTCTGGGAAAATTAGTCATAACTTTTTCTTGGATTTTCAAAGGGGTCTGTGAGTTTTAAAAGGGAAGATACTCTGTTGGATAGCTTTGTCCAGTGCTATACTTTTTTTTTTTTTTGGAGATAGGGTCTTGCTCTGTTGCCCAGGCTGGAGTACAGTGGTGTGATCATGGCTTACTGCAGCCTTGACCTCCTGGCCTCAAGTGATCCTCCCACTGTGGCCTCCTGAGTAGCTGCAACTACAGACATGTGTCACTATACCTGGGTATTTATTACTATTATTATTTTTGTAGGGATGGGATCTCACTATGTTGTCCAGCCTGGTCTTGAACTCTTGGGCTCAAGTGATCATCCTGCCTTGGCCTCCTGAAGCGCTGGGATTGCAGGCATGATCCACCATGCCCTGCCCAACGGTACACTTTTCAGGAGAAAACTCTTCCACTTCTGTCTTAGGTAGCAGCAATCAAGATGAATCCTAGATCCACCAAGGGGACAAAATTGTTACTAAAAAAACTTTCTATAGCGTAGTAAATTTGTAGCCTAGGGAAGGCTTCAACCTGTTAGGCTGAAAGCAGCTATGACTTTCAGTAAATCTGAAAAGAGCATTCCTGTTGCAGAATCAATGAGACTCTGTAGGCTTTGGCTGATAGACAAATGACTCACTGTCTTCAAAACTACTATGGAAAAGGCTATGCTTTGCATCTGTCTAGGGTGTAAATTTGCTTTTGATTGACAATGTGATAGCAAACAATTTAAAGGGAAGAAACAGAGAGAAAATGTCATCTTTGTGGGCAGATGCTTTTATTAGGAGCTGAAAGTGTGATGGAAGTACTTTTGAAAATGTGTTATTTCTCCCTGTTCTTTTTTGCCACTGTAAGCAGAGAAAAAAAGTTTTTATTCTTACCCTTGTCTAAGAAAAGTCAGCAGATTCAAAATTCACTGTAAGCACAAAAGGTTTGTGAATCTGCATTTTATGGTGGGTACATACTGGCTTGGTAATAAATGGTTTCAGGGCGCTTGTAACTTCAATTATTGTTGCAATTTAGAATGATTGAGCAACTATTTTTGTGAAATACTGTTTGGTGAAAACTCAAGTGTTTACTGGGAATTCTTTATAAAACATGGGGTGCTTATGATCTTAGGGCTTTGGGCTAAAAAATGTTGATTTATTGGGTAGAATGAATTGTTCTAGCCTGACATCAGAAGTACCAAGTTGCCTTGTGGCTCCTTAAATTCAGTTTGTGTGTTTGGTATTTGCAGATGATACGTTAATTTTAAAAATCTTTAGGGAGTCTTTAAATAAATACTGCCATGTAAGCCTGAAAAAAGTCCATGCCTCTTCTTCCAGGGAGCTGCCCAGACACTGGGCAAATCAGATTTCATAAATATAGCTTGTTGTTATCCTTTACCTATCGTGGAAAGATAAGACAGGAAGTCAGCACACCTAATTCAATAACAGATAAGAAAAGCACACTTTTTCTTTTCTGAGAGCTGTGTAACCTGAGGGTCAATTTGAATGTTTAGAGAATTTTTCTTTTTGAATTTTGTGGGCATTTTAAATATATATATTTATATATATTAATATATGTATTTAAATATATATATTAATATATATTTAAATATATGTTTTATATATATAAAACAATGAGTTTATATTAAATGTGACCTGCTTAAAATAGAAAAAAGAGAGCCAGTTCCATTAATCTGAGTCAGTAGAAGTTGAAAATCCTTTATACCACTCTTTTCTTTTTTAATTTCCTCAGCTCACGTTCTCAGATGGCCCTTCTCACTGCAGAGGGGCTCTGATGTACCAATGCGAACGTTTCAAATGTACACTGCAGGTTCTGTCTGCGGAGACCTTTTGGGCTGTTCATCCGTCGTATTATCTGATAAGAAAGAACTTACATTGAGAAGCCAACTGTCACTCAAACTCCCTCCATTCCAGTGAGCCTTGAGGGTGCCCTATCAGCACAGATCTGCCAGGCTGCCCTCATGGCGCTGTCTAAAATAGCACTGCCTGCCTTGGCTCCCTGGATCAATGAATCCGCAGTGAGGCTTTACTGTGCTTTGCTACTCCATCGCCACTTGTCTTTTGCTGATCTTCAGGCATCAAGATTTTGTCACCTTCTTATTCTCAAGCGCCTGCATCATCTTGTCATTCTTCGCTTCACTTTAGCTACTTATTCCTTGCAGAACCCAGAGAGCGTTCCAGAAAGTCGAAAGTTTAGAAATGTCTTCACAAAGCTGAACACTCTGACTTCCAAGGACATAACCTTCCTACTTTTCTGTATTCATTTCTCTGAGAACTTTTGCTGCTGTCACTGTTCTGCCCCAGATCATGTATGGCCAACATGAGAATAATCCCCAGTACTTACTTTCCAGGTATTAAGTTCGAGTAGACACCAAACCTATTGCTTATTATCCCTGCTTCTTTTCTCTGGGAGACACAGAAAAAAAGAGACAGAGAGGACTGAGAGAATATGATGTGTGTGCGTGTGTGTGCTCATGAGCATAGGCATATAGAAGAAATTGATACCCAGAATTCTAGAATGAAAGGCCCACTTTATCACATGCTAAATAATTATTGTATCACGCAACTCTAGTTCTTTTATGCATTTTTAAAATGAAAACTCCAGTTTAAAATATGGCATTCTTAGTCATAGTCTTACCTTCTTAGAACTTTTTTTTTTTCAATTAAAAATATTTTTTTGGGCTGGGCACAGTGGCTCATGCCTGTAATCCCAGCACTTTCGTAGGCTGAGGCAGGTGGATTGCTTGGGGTCAGGAGTTCGCGACCATCCTGGCTGACATGGTGAAACCCTGTCTCTACTAAAAATACAAAAATTAGCCAGATATGGTGGTGTTCATCTGTAATCCCAGCTACTTGGGAGGCTGAGGCAGGAGAATCGCTTGAACCCAGGAGGCAGAAGTGCTGTGAGCCAAGGTCATGCCACTGCACTCTAGTGTGGGTGACAGAGCGAGACTCTGTCTCAAAAAAAAAAAAATTGTAGACATGGGGGTCTCAGTATGTTACCCAGACTGGTCTCGAATTCCTGACCTCAAGTGATCCTCCCATCTCAGCCTACTAAAGTTCTGGGATTATGGGTGTGAGCAATTGCTCCCAGCCAACTTTAGAACATTTTATTCTGAGAAAACCTGAGGTAATTTATTTACACATTACAAATTTGATAATTCTATACAACCATTTATTAGTCATAATATTTTGGATAGCTTTAGGAGAACTTTGTCAAATCTGAGATTGTTCTTCCTAACACCATTATCAATGTGGCTAGATATATGGGCAGCTTTATTTTTATTTATTTATTTATTTTGAGACAGAGTCTTGCTGTGTCATCCAGTCTGGAGTGCAGTGGTACGATCTCAGCTCATCTGCAATCTCTACCTCCTGGGTTCAAGTGATTCCCCTGCCTCAGCCTCCCATGTAGCTGAGACTACAGGCATGTGCCACCACGCCCGGCTAATTTTTGTATTTTAGTAGAGATGGGGTTTTGCCATGTTGGCCAGGCTGGTCTCAAACTCCTGACCTCGGGTAATCCACCCGCCTTGGCCTCCCAAAGTGCTGGGATTACTGGCATGAGCCACCGCGCTTGGCCTTCTGGGCAGCTTTATGTGGAAAGTGCTTTATCTCCACACACAGGTGGGACAAGGTGGGACAGAAACCTACCTAGTGACTCAGATCTCTATTAAAATGTGACTAAATTTAAATTGTCAAATTTAAAAATAAGAATATTAAGGGTGATTCAGGATCCATTAAGAAATATCAGAATTCTACATAAAGATAAAAACCAGCCAGGCACGATGACTCATGGCTGTAATCTCAGTACTTTGGAAGGCTGAGGCAGGAGGATCACTTGAGCCCAGGAGTTTGACACCAGCCTGGGCGACAGAGCAAGACCCCATCTCACAAAAAGTTAAAAAAAAAAAGAGCTGAATGTGGTGGCATGCTCCTGTAGTCCTGAATGCTTGGGAGGCTGAGGCAGGAGGATGGCTTGAGCCCAGGAGGTAAAAGCTGCAGTGAGCCGTGATTGCACCATGCACTCCAGCCTGGGTGACAGAGTAAGACCCTGTCTCCAAAAAAATAATAAAAACCTATATTTAAAATATCTCAAGACATGACATCCTATAAATAGTCATTTTCTTTGTGTTTAGACTGGGAATGATTTATTCATTTTAGGACGCTGAGTAAAATATTTTATATTCAAGGCTACCTAGTGGATGAATTTTCGTGCTCGTCAGAGTCAGGATTTGTTTAATCTGTGACAGCACCCTCTAATGGTTTCAGTCATGCCTGAAAAATATCTGAGTGAACTTCATGGACTTCTTCTCTGATTGTTCCCCTCAAGTCTGAAATTTTATTAATCATATTTGGAATCAAGCAGACAAAGTGCTCAAGTATTCTGAAAAATAAGAGCTTGGTGCGGTGGCTCACATCTGTAGTTCCAGCTATTCAGGAGGCTGAGGCAGGAGGAATGCTTAAGCACACGAGTTACTTATAAGTAATTCTATAATTTTAGGCAACTTGATTACACATAAAATTTCTTTCATAATATATATCTTCCACAAATGTATAACTTTCTTATATTACTTCAGTCCTTTGTCCTATACGTTCCCTCTTTCTCCTTTTGGACAAACCAGTTATTCCACTTCCAAACAAAAATTACTCACTTTTTCTCTTAGCCAGAGCACATCTTCCATACCACGTAGCTTCACTTACCAGAAACATGTCTTACTTTCCTTACCATATGAAGTGTTTCTTTTTTTATTTCTAGTTTTAATTACCATATGTTGATTAGAATTTTTGACTCTTAATAACCTTAATTTCTAATGAAAACCTAGGGAAAAAGAAATTTTGAACTGTCATACATCAACATTTTATGAATATACATTTTATAACTTCCAAAAACATGTGCTCCCTCATGGAACAATTTTTTCATGTTTACCAACAGACTCAAATATATTTAGCTTCTTTATACCATATAAAAACAAGATGCCAAAGTGTATATAGTTTAAACGTATGTTCAGCAATTAATGTTAATATTTTAACTTAGAAATGACTCAGATATTTTATGAATGTCTATTAATATTACATGAGATTGAGATTTCAAGTTGCTGAAAAAGATTTTGATAACTATGACAAGTTCATTTATAAAGTTTTATCTCACATTTATTTCTTTTGTCCTTAACAATTACACTTAGATTATTCATGAAAATTGAGACATTTGACAGACTTAGCCATCATCTCAAGCTATTTTCCCATGAAGTGTCTCATAGCACATGCATATTGGGCAAGTATCATTAAAGAAGAGCCCTAAAAATTAAATATATGGGTCCTTATTTTGCTTCTGTGCTTGATATACACAAAGTAATGAACACTGCGCTGTCCTCTCACTTGCAAATTTATTCTTAGGTCAAACTCATAATTTTATGATCTTAATGGTCTAATAGAAATAAAGATTGTTTCTGCATTATATTTAATGCTGGCAATACTGAAGACATGCCTGTTTTCATTTTTTTGTTTTCTATTTTTATTTTGGTGGGTACATAATAGGTATATTTATTTAAGGGGTGTGTAAGATGTTTTGATACAGGCATGGAATGTGAAATAAGCACATCATGGAGATTGAGATATCTATCCCTCATAAAGCTTTTATCCTTTGAGTTACAAACAATACAATTACACTCTTTATATATATATTTTTTAAATTTTATTATTATTATACTTTAAGTTTTAGGGTACATGTGCACAATGTGCAGGTTTGTTACATATGTATACATGTGCCATGTTGGTGTGCTGCACCCATTAACTCGTCATTTAACATTAGGTGTATCTCCTAATGCTATCCCTCCCCACTCCCTCCACCCCACAACGGTCCCCGGTGTGTGATTTTCCCCTTCCTGTGTCCATGTGTTCTCATTGTTCAATTCCCACCTATGAGTGAGAACATGCAGTGTTTGGCTTTTTGTCCTTGCGATAGTTTGCTGAGAATGATGGTTTCCAGTTTCATCCATGTCCCTACAAAGGACATGAACTCATCATTTTTGATGGCTGCATAGTATTCCATGGTGTATATGTGCCACATTTTCTTAATCCAGTCTATCGTTGTTGGACATTTAGGTTGGTTCCAAGTCTTTGCTATTGTGAATAGTGCCACTATAAACATACATGTACATGTGTCTTTATAGCAGCATGATTTATAATCCTTTGGGTATATACCCAGTAATGGGATGGCTGGGTCAAATGGTATTTCTAGTTCTAGATCCCTGAGTAATCGCCACACTGACTTCCACAATGGTTGAACTAGTTTACAGTCCCACCAACAGTGTAAAAGTGTTCCTATTTCTCCACATCCTCTCCAGCACCTGTTGTTTCCCGACTTTTTAATGATTGCCATTCTAACTGGTGTGAGGTGGTATCTCATTGTGGTTTTGATTTGCATTTCTCTGATGGCCAGTGATGATGAGCATTTCTTCATGTGTTTTTTGGCTGCATAAATGTCTTCTTTTGAGAAGTGTCTGTTTATATCCTTTGCCCACTTTTTGATGGGGTTGTTTGTTTTTTTCTTGTAAATTTGTTTGAGTTTATTGTAGATTCTGGATATTAGCCCTTTGTCAGATGAGTAGGTTGCAAAAATTTTCTCCCATTCTGTAGGTTGCCTGTTCACTCTGATGGTAGTTTCTTTTGCTGTGCAGAAGTTCTTTAGTTTAATTAGATCCCATTTGTCAATTTTGGTTTTTGTTGTCATTGCTTTTGGTGTTTCAGACATGAAGTCCTTGCCTATGCCTATGTCCTGAATGGTATTTCCTAGGTTTTCTTCTAGGTTTTTTATGGTTTTAGGTCTAACATTTAAGTCTTTAATCCACCTTGAATTAATTTTTGTATAAAGTGTAAGGAAGGGATCCAGTTTCAGCTTTCTACATATGGCTAGCCAGTTTTCCCAGCTCCATTTATTAAACAGGGAATCCTTTCCCCATTTCTTGTTTTTGTCAGGTTTGTCAAAGATCAGATAGTTGTAGATATGCGGCATTATTTCTGAGGGCTCTGTTCTGTTCCGTTGGTCTATATCTCTGTTTTGGTACCAGTACCATGCTGTTTTGGTTACTGTAGCCTTGTAGTATAGTTTGAAGTCAGGTAGTGTGATGCCTCCAGCTTTGTTCTTTTGGCTTAGGATTGGCTTGGTGATGCGAACTCTTTTTTGGTTCCATATGAACTTTTAAGTAGTTTTTTCCAATTCTGTGAAGAAAGTCATTGGTAGCTTATGGGGATGGCATTGAATCTATATACAGTTGTTATTATTGGCTATAGTCAACCTATTGTGCTATCAAATAGTGGTCTTATTCTTTCTACTTTTTTTGTACCCATTAACCATCTTCACCCTCTCCCTATCCCATTTTAATTAAACCAACAGTATTCTTATTTACCAAATTTTACTGAAGTCATGTGAACTTAAAAAGCATTTGAGTTAGTTTCTTTCCTTTTTTCTTTTTCTTTTCTTTTTTTTTTTTTTTTTTTTTTAGGACTGAGTCTTGCTCTGTTGCCCAGGCTGGAGTGCAGTGGCATGATCTTGGCTCACTGCAACCTCCACCTCCTGGGTTCAAGCAATTCTCCTGCCTCAGTCTCCTAAGTAGCTGGGATTACAGGCGCATGCCACCACGCTTAGCTAATTTTTGTATTTTTAGTAGAGACAGGGTTTCACCATGTTGACCAGGCTGGTCTCGAATTCCTGACCTCAGGTGATCTGCCAGCCTTGGCCTCCCAAAGTGCTGGGATTATAGGCATGAGTCACAGTGCTTGGCCAATGCTTGTTCCTCAACTGAATTTACTGAGTTCAGGGTGGAGCCCATTAACATATGGGGCCAAAAAAGCATTTTCTACACATGAACTCAGGATGGATAGCTCTGAACAAGCAGCAGATCCACCCTGACCTTTATAAATACTTTATCTCACTTTCTTTTTGCCTTAGGGAAGGGAGAATAACTACATGAAAAGGTTAGCAGATTCAGTTTTTCTCATCTGTTAGTCACTTAAGCTTTCCATTTGCCTTTGTAAGGAGTCTTTTTAAAAAAGTATAAACATTTTAAAATTCATTTTTGGAAGAGTCTACACATCAATAGACAACCCTTGGTAGGCCCCCTATGAGAGACTCTCATTTTTAAATGCATTTCTTAAAGTGCAATGTGGTTCATCTGGAATATTCCACATTATGGCCATCATAATTCTAAATTATCTGTAGTATGATTTTGCCATTTTTGTAAGCAGCTTCTGTGACCTAATATTTACACATGTAAAAGGTAGTCCTATGGAGTATTCAGGTCTTTAGAAATTGAGGATGAAATTTTTAGGTTGAATCTTGGCTCTCTTAGAGCCAAGATTAAAGCCCGAAGAAAGCACCGTGGGCTTGTGTTGTGTAATGCTTTCATGGCGTACCTCATTGCATGAAAATATCCTTGAAGCTGGTGAGCAACCTAATGTTAGCTAGCCCATTCTGTTAGCAGCTTATTTTTTTCATGGAAGTCTTATTTTTTAGTGGAGAGCACTGTAATAGCTTTATTTTTTTTGAGAGACAGAGTCTCACTCTGTCGCCCAGGCTGGAGTGCAGTGGCACGATCTCAGTTCACAGCAACCTCCGAATCCCAGGTACAAGTGATTCTTCTTTTTCAGCCTTCCGGGTAGTTGGGATTACAGGTGTGCGCCACCACACTAGGCTAATTTTTGTATTTTTAGTAGAGATAGGGTTTCACCATGTTGGCCAGGCTGGTCTTGAACTCTTGACTGCCTCGGCCTCCCAAAGTGCTGGGATTACAGGCATGAGCCACTGCACCCAGCCACAGCTGTAATAGCTTTTAAGTTCTCAAACTGTGCCCACCAGTCAGGTTGTAGCTTTGGCTCTGAGATCCCCTTGACCAATTTAGCCAATACTTACCCAGTTTTGTCTGACCCAGTCAGTCCCCTGAGGCCTCCCTTACTGAGGCATTCAAGAAAAAGAAAAGAAGAGGAAAGAAACCCAAATACCTAAGATTTTTGAGGAGTTCATGCCTCCTACAATAACTACCATTTATTGCAACTGCTGTCAGTTACCTTTTTTTTTTTCTTTTTTTCTGAGACGGAGTCTTGCTCTGTCACCCAGGCTAGAGTGCAGTGGCGCGATCTCGGCTCACAGTTACCTTTAAAATTGTAGCTCTTTCATGATCCAGAGCTTCTCCCAAAGATAGCCAAAAGAAAAGAAGACTTAGACAATTCCTTGAGAGCTTGCAGCAGTCAATACGCTAGCTGTACATGGGGTACACCCACATTTCTGTCTGGCCATATTCTTGGGGGCTTGACTTAAGACCGAAACAAATAAGCCTCTATGACTTTAGCCAAGACATCTCCAAAGTGGGAGCAGAAAGATGCAGCTCTTACCAGTTACTTGTCAGCCACCACAAACCCAAAGGCCAAGTGCCTTCTCATAGCACAAAGAAACTCTGGATTTGAAAGCCAAAAAAAAACCAGGAGCGCAATGCAAAAGGAGCAGAGTCTGACTTGAGAGAAACTTACTTATGACTCTCAGGGCTCCATGAGGATGACAGGAAACCTGAAAAGGGGTCAGTGGTGCTTTTCCTGCATCCATTCCTCAAAGGGTCTTGGGGGGTGATCAGCAGTGTACTCTGGGTCCCTTCGGGGTCGCCAGAAGTGGCAAAAGACAAAATCATAGCAAGTTTAGTTTATTTTTATTTTTTTGGGACAGAGTCTTGCTCTGTCGCCCAGGGTGGAGTGCAGTGGCGCGATCTCAGCTCAGAGCAACCTCCACCTCCCGGGTTCAAGCAATTCTCTTGCCTCAGCCTCCCGAGTACCTGAGACTGCAGGCACGCACCACTAACCCCGGCTACTTTTTTCTATTTTTAGTAGAGATGGGGTTTCACCACGTTAGCCAGGATGGTCTTGATCTCCTGACCTCATGAGCTGCCCGCCTCAGCCTCCCATAGTGCTGGAATTACAGGCTTGAGCCACTGTGCCTGGCCAGCAAGTTTAGTTTAAAGATCTTAGTTGGCTTTATTTGCGATTCCAGAATCAGGCAACCCTTTATTCTGTAAAATAGAATGAGTGTTTCAAAGACCTGAGCAGATGTGTTTGGTTTTATAGACAGAAAAGAGCTGAAGAAAGCAGAAACAGAAAACGGAATGCGGATTGATAGTTTCGAAGTTACTTTTCTTGTAAAAGTTAAAGCAGAGGGGACTTCAGTGTCATGCCAACTAAAACTGGCCTATTTGGAGATGTGGCTATTTTCTCTCTCTCCTGATTTCTTGAAAGTTCAGATGTATAACTTAGCTTCAGTTTGGTGACATGGAACTTTATTACTTATTATTTTTTGAGATGGAGTCTTGCTCTGTTGCCCAAGCTGGAGTGCGGTGGCACAATCTTGGCTCACTGCAACCTCTGCCTCCAGGTTTCAAGCCATTCTCCTGCTTCAGCGTTCCAAGTAGTTGGGATTACAGGTGGAATTTCACTTTTGATGGCATTAAGAGGTGCTATTAGCTATAAATCACAAGAAATAAGAATAGAAATTGATTTAGCAGAGAGGAAAAGGGTGATATTAACAGCTAATTGCCTAAGGTTTGTGGGATACCAATACAAAGTTTGCCCACTTGCTCTGCAGCCCAGAGGAACTGAAGGCACTGGCTTCCATGGAGATGGTGGCACAGGCCCAGGGCTGAAAACGGAGGAACTGTTTGTGTCTGTCGGAAGAACACTTTGACTTCAAAGCCTAGTGAATCCCCTGTATTAGTCTGCTAAGACTGCCATGACAAGATATTACAGACTGGGTGGCTTAAACAGTAGACATTTATTTTCTCATGGTTCTGGAGGCTCGAAGTCCAAGATTAAGGGGGCAGCACCTTACTTTCTCCCAAGTCTATGTCCTCAGCCTTCAGATGGCTGCGTTATCACAGTGTCCTCACCTGCCCTTTTCTGTGTGCATTTGCAGTCCTGCTGGATTAGGGCCCCACCGTTATGGTCATATTTAACCTTGATTACCGAGTTAAAGACTCTCTCTTGTGGCTGGGTGCGGTGGCTCATGCCAGTAATCCCAGCACTTTGGGAGGCCCAGGCAGACAGATCACCTAAGCTCGGGAGTTCGAGACCAGTCTGGCCAACATGGTGAAACCCTGTTCTACTAAAAGTACAAAAATTAGCTGGGTGTCATAGTGCACGTCCGTAATCCTAGCTACTCAGGAGGCCGAAGCAGGATAATTGCTTGAACCTGGGAGGCGGAGGTTGCAGTGAGCCAAGATTGCACCACTGCACTCCAGCCTGGGCAACAGAACAAGACTCTGTCTCAAAAAAAAAAAAAAAAAAAAAAGACTCTATCTTGAAATACAATAGCATCAGAGGTTAGGGCTTCCACATATGAATTTTGGGGAGACATAAATCAATTCATAACAATCCCTTTTCCCACTCCCCAGGCGATGAGTAGGGTAAGGAGGATAAAGCAGCAGAAGGTCAAAATGAATGGTGGACAGAAAAAAGGGATTCCCTGGAAGTTGTCTTGCTAAAAGGTGAAGATCCCAGGCCACTTCTGTAGTCCTGAGGCCTTTCACGGTCAGCTCTCAGGCACAGCGCAGATGAGTTGTTCCTTCTTGGAACTGCTGTAAAACATCCATAGAATGCCTTTTATTAATCATGAGGGTGGAAAAAAGGGTGTGCCAGATAATTCATGGGAAGATCCTCTTGAAATTAATGTGTACTGCTCCATAATGGAGAGGTCAAGCAGAAATATTGTCAAAGTTCTAGACGTTGTTAAGTCCTTTATTGTGGTTCATCTTGCTACCTAAGGAATAGGTGGTTTGTTTGCAATCCTTGCAAACCTTTGCAGTATCTACAGCAATACCAGAGATGATGTTTATGACACGCCATGAGCTTCTTGAAGGTAGATAGGTATCTAATTCAGCTTTACATTTCCTGGTCCAGGGACAGAGGCTGTCCACAACTGGTACTAAAAACGTGAATTCTGATGTTTGCAAGTGGCTTTTTCTCTCCCATGCATTATTATCATAACTACTTGGGAAATAATTTGTGGTATTTGAAAAGCAATTTGGAAATTTTAGAGGTAACCAAACCCCTTTTAACCTTACCTTTGTATACAAAAGCACATTTATGTTATATTTTCATCCTCTGGTATCTGTGAGGATTGGTTCCAGGATGTCCCTCAGATACCAAAATCTGCAGCTACACAAGTCCTTGATATAAAATGGTTTAGTATTTGCATATAACCTATGCACATTACTTACATATACCTTATTATATTTTTATTATTTTCTTTTGTTTTTTTTGGAGATGGAGTTTCACTCTTGTTGCCAGGCTGGAGTGCAATGTCACAGTCTCGGCCCACTGTAACCTCCGTCTCCTAGGTTCAAGCTATTCTCCTGCCTCAGCCTCCTGAGTAGCTCCCGCCACCACACCCAGCTAATTTTTGTATTTTTAGTAGAGATGGGGTTTCACCATGCTGGCCAGGCTGGTCTTGATTTCCTGACCTCAGTTGATCCACCCACCTCCGCCTCCCAAAGTGCTGGGATTACAGGCGTTGAACCATCATGCCCGGCCCTTCACATATAGTTTAAATCATCTCTAGATTACTTATAATACCTCATACAATGCAAATGCAATGTAAATAGTTATGATCAGGCATTGTTTAGGGAATAGTGACAAGCAAGTAAAAGTCTGTACATGTTCAGTGCAGACACAATTTTTTTTTGAATAGTTTTGATCTGCAATCAGTTGAATCCATGAATGTTGAACCCATGGAACCCACAGGACCCACGGATATGGAGTATGTTTGTGTGTGTGTGCATTAGATCTTGGCAAAAATCCATTTGTAGATAAGAAAAGTGAAGTTTGTAAAATTTGATGATTATCAGGACTAGAACACAGATACTGTGCTTCTCTTTTACTTCATTATGCTAGCATGAGTTTAAAAATGCAAATTCTGTGATTACTTAAGCATCAATTCTGAAATGCTTAAAAGTTGCATTTAAACTGCAGAGCATGTTGTTGCCCGACACTAATAGAATTTTCTTTGAAAGGCAGTGCCAGATAATTTCCACTGGATATTAATAAGGTGAGTAAAAAATGTTTAAATAAGCCACCCTTGAGTTTTGCATTGGTTTCTGAAGGAGAAACAGATATAAGGAGTCTGTCAGAACAACAGCAGCAAAAGTTTGAGACATTGCTTTTGTGTGGAAAAAAATCCTCCTTGCTGTGCAGAAATCTCTAGAAATGTTGCACTCTGGGGTTTGAGAGGCTGAGATAATGCAATAAAAAAGAAGCTTGCTTTCTTAAGAAACCTGGGCTGAAAACCAATGAGGCAAGAATAGTGCCAAGGTTCAGCCACGTTTTGACCTCACTTGCCCACCTGTATTCAGATTGTGCAGTCATGAAGGGAAATGAGTTTGTCTCTCTATGCCTGTTGGACATTTGTCTCCACAACAAGCTCACTCAGTGATATAAAGGCAAGGATCCTGTGTATCAAGCCATGTCCAAATGTGGTTTTCTAATCAGTGTAAGAGCCCGAGACCCTGGTATGAGAATTGACTAGATAATTCTCCAGACTAATTGTTGTCAATACTTATATATATTTAATTACTTAATTTATATACCACCATGTTCCACAAATAATATGAAGCAACTTAATTATGATATTTATGTAGTTATTGACATTTCATGTGTTTTAGCAGGTTTTTTGTTAAGTTCAAACAACGAGCCTCTGAGGTCAGTATGAACAGTCCATTTTTACAGCAGGAGGAACTATAGTTCATATAGATTAATTGAGTTGCTTTGCTATGAGGTAGTTATTAATATTGTCTTCCTACGGGTAGGAAAGTAAAGCTTAAAGGAAAGAAGTAAATTGTTAAAGAAGACACACATGATTTGAGGTGCTTCTGAGAGGTAGGATTTCCTTTCAAATCTACTGACCTGAAAGACTGTCCTTAACCCCTATGGTATCCTACCTTCTCAAAATGGAACCCAGTTGCTCTTCTGTTGGTTTTAGCCATTAAAAAAAAAGAGTCATTCTGTTGATTCATGTTTCTAAACATGATGTTTTAGAACAGGGATGCAATTTACAGTTAATTTCAAATTATTTTGGCAATATGAGACACTCCATTTTTATTTCTAAAATATTAGTCCATCCAGAGAATTATGCTTGCATTTACTCATATGATTTTATCCAATAAATACAAGGAGAAAGTTAACCGCAGTAGAAAAACCTCTGCTGTCTTATTTGTGGAGAAATCCTAAGTTGGTTTGAATTAGGAGTCCTAAGTTTTTATTTTTTATTTTTATTCTTTTTGAGACAAAGTCTCGCTGTTGTTGCCCAGGCTGGAGTGCAGTGGTGCAATTATGTTACTGCAGCCTCCACCTGCCAGGCCCAAGTGATCCTCCCACCTCAGCCTCTCAAGTAGCTGGGACCACAGGTGTACGCAACCACACTTGGCTAATTTTTTATAGAGACGGGGTTTTACCATGTTGCCCAGGCTGGTCTCAAACTCCTGGGATCAAATGATCCACCTGTCTCACCCTCCCAAAATGCTGGGATTACAGGCATGAGCCACTATGCCTGGCCTGTAGTTGACTTTTAAGAAGGGATTAGAGTATTAACTTATTCTGTTTATCTTGTGCTCTCAACAAATACATTTTCAACTTGGCAAAGTATGGTTGATTACCTGTGACTTTTTTTTTTTTTTTTTGAGTCAGAGTCTTGCTCTTTTTGCCCAGGCTGGAGTGCAATGGCACGATCTTGGCTCACCGCAACCTCTACCTCCTGGGTTCAAGCGATTCTCCTGCCTCAGCCTCCCAAGTAGCTGGGCATGTGCCACCACACCTGGCTAAGTTTGTATATTTAGTAGAGACGGGGGTTTCTCCATGTTGGTTAGGCTGGTCTCGAACTCTTGACCTCAGGTGATCTGCCCGCTTCAGCCTCCTGAAGTGCCATTACTGTCAATGGCAAAAACTGCAGTTACTTTTGCACCAACCTGATAAGAAATTGTAAGAAGTGACAAGGGAAACTTAATATTGGATGCTATCCCTTTTGAAATCTGAAGTTCTTTTGGTGGAGACTAAAAGCTAAGGTCGCTTTGAGAGACATTTTCTGAGAGCTATTTACCATGTATATAGTCAAAGTAAATAATTGAATGAGGTGTCTGCTTTTTGCTGAATACTATGTAACCATAAATATTATTCTAACAGCTATTGCTCCTTGCTATATAAGATTATTAGACTAAGAGACAGATATAAATGAGCCTGGAACTCTGCAGCTCAGCCCCCCACGTCCTCTAAGGGTTGCTCGAACCTAGCCTCTGTCCTTCTCTTTCTGGGGTGGGGTTGGTGGTCCTTGCAATTTTATGAAAACTGCCATTTATCTTCTTTGTTTTATTGATGTCAGGGGTGTCAGCTTTGAAATGCTCACTGAAGGGGTCCTCTAAGAATCTAAAGCCTGGAGCTAATGGCAGTGCTGCACTAATGCTCTTGTGGACATGGTGAGCATTTCTCTGCGGCCCAGTTGCTGATGTTACCTGGGCAAGGTGCCTCTTTGTGGGTGGCTGAGATCAGCCACTGAGCTGGCATAATTCAGACTCCTGCAACAGGTGACAGCCTTTATCTATTTTTTTTTTTTTTTTTTTTTTTGCCATGGAGTCTCGCTCTGTCCCCCAGGCTGGAGTGCAGTGGTGTGATCTTGGCTCACTGCAATCTCTGCCTCCCAGATTCTCCTGCCTCAGCCTCCTGAATAGCTGGGATTACAGGCCCATGCTCGCAGGCCTGGACAATTTTTTTTTTTTTTGTATTTTTAGTAGAGACAAGGTTTCACCATGTTGTTCAGGCTGGTCTCGAACTCTTGACCTCATGATCCACCTGCCTTGGCCTCCCAAAGTGCTGGGATTACAGGCTTGAGCCACCATGCCTGGCCTCCTTTATCCTTTTTTATACACTTGCATTCTGCTCTGTAAATGGTTTTTAGGATGGAAAATTAATCCTCCAGTCTCAGCATGTGTACTTGAACCATTCTCACAGTCTTCATCTCTGATTGAGATCTTTCCATCTTGCATCAGCTCCACTTCTTTTCTGGAACTCAGTCTTTTATTATTTTTATATTTTTTGGCCAATCATCTCCCTGGGATTCTGCCAACAGATGAGATGTAGGTCTTCTCAAAGCTTTTACAACAAGTAGGTGACTAGCTTTTTACTTCCTAATATACAATGTAGACTTTTGCAAGTATGTTGTGAATAATTAAATTGAGAGTATTCCACAATCATTAGGGAAAAAATTAAGTGTAAAAACATAAACATTGGTGGTGTTTGACCCGTTGGTCTGATGTGAATCCAAGGAAACGAAAGGAAGAGGTTCCGAGTAGCAGTTGCTGAAATGTTCTGATGTGGAGGCCTTGTGGTGGGTGCTTTGAAGCAGAAGCTGGTGCCCTTGGTGCAGATGGTGTGTGTCTGCAGCCTGAGGCAGAGGAACTGGCTTCTAAGCAACTTGTTCCAGCACTGGGGTGTTCCTCTAGAACTCCAGATGACATGACAAATGGCTAGCTCTGGTGCACCAGGAGGCAGAGTAGATAATTCTGTGTAAGTCCTTATTGTGGGCTTATCAACAGCAGGAGCTGGTGCATATGCCTGCAAGACTATAAAGGATAACCAAAAAAGATATAATGAAAGAATGCTAGGGTTAGGGCTGACATCAGAAGAGAAGCAAAAAAGGGCCACATTATCTGCTCTAGATGGAGAGCCAGTTCCTCAAGGCAGCTTGCCAAATCATGTCCCTTTCCTGCTAACTGGCGGAAGAACTGCTGTTTTTGCTGCAGCCGAAGCCACCTGGGTTCGGGATCCTGGGACCGGGGTCCTCATTATGTCTGAAGATCCTGAGCTGCCATACATGTGATCTCCCCTTTGAAAAGAACCATGGTACAAAAGTTGACAAATGGGACCTAATTAAACTAAAGAGCATCTGTACAGCAACAACAACAACAACAACAACAAACTATCAACAGAGTAAACAGCCTACTGAAAGAGAGAACATATTTGCAAACTGTTCATCTAACAAAGGTCTAATATCTAGAATCTATAAGGAACTTACACAAATTTACAAGCAATAAACAACCCCATTAAAAAAATGGACAAAGGAATGAATAGAGAGTTTTCAAAAGAAGACACAGCCAACAAGCATATGAGAAAATGCTCAACATCATTAATTATTAGAGAAATGCAAATCAAAACCACAATGAGATCCCATCTCACACCAGTCAGAATGACTATTACTAAAAAGTCAAAAAATAACAGATGCTGGTGAGATTGCTGAGAAAGGGAATGCTTATACACTGTTGATGGGAGTGCAAATTAGTTCAACCAGTGTGGAAAGCAGTTTGGTGATTTCTGAAAGAACTTAAAATAGAATTACCATTCAAGCCAGCAATCCTATTAATGAGTATATACCCAAAGGAATATAAACCATTCCACCATGAAGACACATGCACGTGTATGTTCATTGCAGCACTATTCACAATAGCAAAGATATGGAATCAACCCAAATGCCCATCAGTGGTAGACTGGATAAAGAAAATGTGGTACATATACATACACCATAGAGTATTACATAGCCATAAAAAGAATGAAATCATGTCCTTTGCAGCAACATGGATGGAGCTAGAGGTCACTATCCTAAGTGAACTAACACAGGAACAGAAAACCAAATACCACATATTCTCACTTATAAGTGGGAGCTAAACATTGAGTACAAATGAACAAAAAGAACAGAATAGTGCACACTGGGGCCTACTTGAAGGTAGAGGGTGGGAGGAGGGTGAGGATTGAAAAACTAACTATCAGGTACTATGCTCATTACTTGAGTGATGAAATAATCTGTACACCAAACCTCTGTGACATCCAATTTACCTATGTAACAAACCTGCACGTGTACCCTTGAACCTAAAATAAAAGTGAAAAACAAACAAAAATTCCAAAAGAACTGTGGTTTTCAGATGACTCAGATGTCACAAAGACAGTGTGATTCAGACAGTGGAATGGAAAAAGAGAGAAGCATGTATTTCCAGCCACCTCTTTCTGTGTCTCTGCCCAGGACTTGCCTCACATTGAGAATGGTGTTGTGGCCATCCTCACGAGGTAGAAGATGGTATAGCTGAAAGTGAGAGGCAACACAGTGAAACTTAATGATGGCTCCCAAATAGCCTATGAAAACTGCTTGATTGCAACAAGAGGTCCTCCAAGAAGTCTGTCTGAAATTGATGAAGCTGGATCAGAGGTGAAGAGCAGAGCAACACTCTCTAGAAAGATTGGAGACTCTAGGACTCTGGAGAAGATTTCATGGAAGTCAAGTCAATTATGGTTATCGGTGGGGGCTTGCTTGGTGGTGAACTGGCCTGTGCTCTTGGCAGAAAGGGTTGGAGCCTTGGGCACAGAAGTGATTCACCTGTTTTCTGAGAAGGGAAATATGGGAAAGGTCTTCTGCAAATCCCTCTGCAACTGAACCGTGGAAAAAGTCAGACGAGAGGGGGTTAAGATGATACCCATTGCTGTTGTGCAACCGGTTGGAGTCAGCAGTGGCAAGTTACTCATCACGTTGAAAGATGGTGGGAAGGTAGAAACTGACCACATAGCAGCAGCCGTGAGCCTGAAGCCCAGTGCTGAGTTGGCCGAGAACTGGTGGGCTGGAAATAGGCCCAGATTTTGGTGGCTTCTGGGTAAATGTAGAGCTATACTCATGCCTAAACATCTGGGTGGCAGGAGATGCTGCATGCTTCTATGATATAAATCTGGGGAGGAGGCGGTTAGAGCACCATGATCAAGCTTTTGTGAGCAGAAGATTGGCTGGAGAAAATATGACTGGAGCTGCTAAGCCGTATTGGCATCAGTCAGTGTGCTGGAATGATTTGAGCCCTGATGCTGGCTATGAAGCTATTGGCCCACAGTTGGTGTTTTTGCAAAAGCAGCTGTGCAAGACAACCCAAAATCTGCCAAAGAGCAATCAGGAGCTGTTATCTGCTCAGAGAGTGAAACACGGTACGAGGCCTCAGAAATTACTCTTCCTCCTAGAACCCCTGCAGTTCCAAGGCTCCTCTCCAGGGAGAAGACTACGGCAAAGGTGACATTTTTGATCCCAGGGACAAAGTGGTCATGGGGCTCATGCTATATGGAACATCTTTAACCGAATGCCGATAGCAAGGAAGACCACTGAGGATGGTGAGCAACTTGAAGATCTCAATGAAGTGGCCAAACTATTCAACATTCATGAAAACTGAAGCCCACAGTGGAATAGACAAGCCCTTCAGTGTCCCTGAGAGTGGGTTGCATGGGTAAAGGAGCATTTTTTTTTAATTCAGCAAACTTTCTCTGTGTATATAAATGTGAATAATCAAGTCTCTTGTGAATGTTTTCAACCATGTAGGCAAATTCTTAATTTTCACATCATGAAAAAAATCTGATTCTTCTAAAAAAAATTAAAGAATTAGGAATTAGACATTAAACCTTAAACAATAAAACACTTCACAAAAAAATGACATAAAAATGTAGGGGTGACCGAGATAACATTTCACAAGCATTTCTTGTAAACCACATAGTTTTAGGCTTATTCCCAGGCATGTTGGAAATTTGAGTGATTCACATATAATGTCTTTAAAATGGCCATTGGCCTATTTTACTCAGAATATGTTGAATGCAGCTCTTGCCTAAAGATTGGGAAACAGATATGCATTGTGAGTGTTGTGTGAGAACCTTCCGTGGGCTTTTGAAGAAACACTGTTCCCAGTATTGACTTTACTTTTGGAATCTAGGACACAGCTGAAATTGCTTAGTGCCAATGACTGGCTGTCTCATCTGGAGTAATCTTTCTCTCGATCTTTTTTGGCCTAATAGATATTTCAGTCTCACACATTTGCCAGACTTCTGCTTTGTTTGCTTCTCACTGTTTCCTTGAAGAGAACTGATAGTTCACTGGAATGAGAAAATAAAAACAAAATAACAAACTTTACTTTCTAAAACAATAGTGTTTTAGAACTAAGATTGCAGCTTAACGTGAGATAAAATAGACTTGTTCATCTAATAAACTTTGGAGCCCTTAGTATATATCCAGACATTACCTAATTTAGCATTGAAAAACAATAGATTTTGTGTATCCTTTTGCCAGTAGATTGATACTTGGATTATTTCCAGTTTTTAGTGTTTATGAATTAAGCTGCTATAAACATTTTTACTGGTTTTTATGTGAACCTAAGTTTTTGTTTCACTTGTGTAAATACCTAGGAGTAGAATTGCTGGATTGTATGGTAAATGTATGTTTAATTTTAAGGAAACTGCAAGACTGTTTTCCAAATTGGGTGGATGTGTATTTCATATTCCTGCTAGGAATCGAAAAGAATTCCAATTGCTCAGCATCATTTTGAGCACTTTGTATCGCCGATTTAAAATATCACAGCCCACAGCCATTTAGGCGGATCACCTAAGGTCAGGAGTTCAAGACCAGCCTGGCCAACATGCTGAAACCTCATCTCTACTAAAAAAACCCAGAAATTAGCTGGGCTGGTGGCAGGTGCCTTTACTAATCCCAGCTACTCAGGAGGCTGAGGCAGGAGAATCACTTGAGCCTGGGAGGCAAAGGTTTCAGTGAGCCGAGATCGTGCCATTGCACTCCAGCCTGGGTGACAAGAGAAAAACTCCATCTCAAAAAAAAAAAAAAAAAAAAAGTTACAGCCATTATAATAGGTATGTAGTGATATCTCATTATGGTTTTAATTTTGATTTCTATGATGACTAGTGATATTGAGCATCTTTTCACATGCTTATTGGCATCCATATGTCTTCGGTGAAGTGTTTGTTCAAATCTTTTGCCCATTAAATAATTTAAAAAATGTTACTGCGTTTTAAGAACTCTTTATATATCCTGGATATAGGTCCTTTGTCAGATATGCTGTTTGCAAATATTGTCTCATAGTCTGTGGCTTTTCTTTTCATCTCCTGAGAGTGTCTTTCATAGGGCAGGAGTTCTTATTTTGAAGTCAAATTCATCTATATATTTTTTTTTATGAATTGGTCTTTTGGTGTCATGCATCTTGGGGTATAACTCAGCAGCAAAAGGGAACAAACTACTAATATACAGAACAACACTAAATTAAGTGAAAGAATCCTGCCCCCAAAGGCTACATGTTATATGATTCCATTTATTTGGTATTTTGGAAAAGACAAAACTAGAAAGACAGAAAGTAGATCTATAGTTGCCAGGAGCTAGAGGTGGGAGTCCGGGCAGAGGAGTTGACTGTGAAGAGGAAAGGGGAATTTTTTGGGGGTAATTCTGCTATCCTATATCTTGATTGTGCTGCAGATGGCATAACTAAACGTGCTTGTCGAAACTTACTGAGCTGTCCACTAAAAAGGGTGGCTTTATTGTATTCTATGTGTTCCCCAAAACTATTTTATCTACTTCATGGGCACATTACAAAATAATTTCCAGCCTCCTTTGTAATTATGTCTGGCTGTGTAACTAAATCTTGTGAAGTTATGTGTTCCCTTCCAATACTGATCCATTAAAACCTCCTGTGAACTGCCATTCTTTCACTTCCCCCAGATTCTAGATAGATGTACAAGATCCAGCAACAGATTCTGTGAGGTTGAGGTTCTATGGCAGGGTGCAACCATGAGGTTCTATGGCAGGATGCAACCATGAGGTTCTGTGTCATTGTAGAACCACGAGGTTCTATAGTTGAGGTTTATGGCATTGTAGAACCATGAGGTTCAATAGTTGATGTTCTATGGCATGGTGGAATCATGAGGTTCTATAGTTGAGGTTTATGGCATAGTGGAATCATGAGGTTCTATAATTGAAGTTCTATGGCATTGTGGAACCATGAATTTCTATAGTTGAGGTTCTGTGGCATGGTGGAAACATGAAGTTCTCTAGTTGAGGTCCTATGACGTGGTGAAAGCATGAGGTTCTATAGTTGAGGTTCTATGGCAGTGTGGAACCATGAGGATCTATAATTGAGGTTCTATGGCATCGTGGAAGCATGAGCTTCTATAATTGAGGTTCTATGGCATGGTGGAATCATGAGGTTCTACAGTTGAGGTTCTATGGCATGGTGGAACCATGAGGTTCTATGAGGTTCTTTAGTTGAGGTTCTATGGCATGGTGGAACCATGAGGTTCTATGAGATTCCTTAGTTGAGGTTCCGTGGCATGGTGGAACCACGAGGTTCTATGAGGTTCTTTAATTGAGGTTCTATGGCATGGTGGAACCATGAGGTTCTATGAGGTTCTTTAGTTGAGGTTCTATGGCATGGTGGAACCACGAGGTTCTATGAGGTTCTTTAGTTAAGGTTCTATGGTATAGTGGAACCTCCAGGTGGAAGTGACCTGGGTCACTGTGTGACCATATCAGTTGGTGGTCATTCAATTGGATTGTAAAATGAATTAAAAAAAAACCTTTATTTTGTTAAGCCAACTGAAATTTATTAGGTTTGTTTGTTACAGCACTTTGTATTACTTAGCCTAAACCAAACAGGAACAAGCACTTCCTTACCTGTTCAGGCATATTAAAAGGTTGGAATTTTTGGTAAGAGGATAATGAGGTGATTCATCCATAAGGTTGGAGAGCTTCAGATATCTGTGGATGTGGCATTTGCAGTGGTATTTTCTTTGATCTTCGGGTTTTGGGAACACTTTTGCACTTTCATTTGGGCTAGACTGTAACAAGATGTCTGATTTATATGTTGATTAATGGAAGAGGTATATTAAAATATTCTATGTTGAGAGTGTTTTTTTCTTGTTGTGTTTACATAATTTTTTGCTTTGTATTCATTGAACTTATGTTATTAGTTGCTTATAATTTTGGGACTGATAGTTGTCCATGTGTATTGAACCTTTTATCATTATGAATTGATTTATTTCTATCAATGTTCTTCATTTATAAACAAATTGTTTACTGTTAATGGAATTATACAAGCTTTCCTCAGTATTTGCTTGGCATATACATAACAGTTTTTCTTCTTTCATACTGTACATCTTTATGTTACAGATATATATTGTCTATAAACAAAATATAGCTGGATTTAGAAAACACAGTTTATAAGTTTCTTCTTTCTTAAATGAGAACATTTGCTCCATAAGTTTTTAAATTAATATATTTGGAATACTCTTTATCATTTTATGATTTTTGTGTATTTCATCCACCTTATGATTTTAGTGAAGGAGTTAATATATAGATCAATGGAACAGAATGGGAAATCTAGAAATAAACTCATACATATACCTACTAAATAATTTTCTACAGGATGCTAAAGCAATTTCATGGGGAAAGAAATGTCTTTTCAACAATGGTGCTGAAGCAAATGAATGTCTGTATGAAAAAAAATAAACATCAACCCTTCCCTTCCATTACATACAAAAATTAACTTGAGATGAAGTATAGACGTAAATGGGAAAGTTAAAAAAGTAAGACTTTTAGATGGAAACATGGGTTAAAATCTTTTGGCAACTTTGAGTAGGAAATTTTGTTAGTTATTACACAAAAAGCATGACTCATAAAATAAAAAAATCGATAAATCAGATCTTATTATTATTTTTTTTTGAGATAGAGTTTCACTCTTGTTGCCCAGGCCGGAGTGCAATAATGCGATCTTGGCTCACCACAACCTCCACCTCCTGGATTAAAGTGATTATCCTGCCTCAGCCTCCCGAATAGCTGGGATTATAGGCATGCACCACCATGCCCGGCTAATTTTGTATTTTTAGTAGAGATGGGGTTTCTCCATGTTGGTCAGGCTGGTCTGGAATTCCCGACCTCAGGTGATCTGCCCAAAGTGCTGCGATTATAGGTGTGAGCCACCACGCCTGGCCAACACTCTTCTAATTAAAAAATAAGAAGACAAACTATCCAATTTGAAAATGGGCAAAAAATTTGGACAGATACTTTAGGAAACAATGGTCAATAAGACATGAAAACGTGCTTGACATATCAGGAAAATAAAAGTCCAAATCACAATAAGATAACACTACATATAATTAGAATGCTTATGGTAAAATTTCTGGGAATACAAATATTGGTGAGAATTTGAAGCAACAGGAATTCTCCTACACTTCAAATTACTTTGGAAGATTGTCACATTTTAAGAAGTACACATATGCCTACCATATGATCCAGACATTTTGTTCTAGGTATAAAATGAAAACATGGATCTACACAAAGATGAATGTTAATAACTGCTTTATGCCCAATAGCCAAAAAGTGGACACAACCTAAATATCTGTGAATGGATAAGTGAAATGTGGTATATCTTTACAACTGAATAGTACTCCGAAATAAAGAATGAACTGCTGATTCATAATACAGCATGCATCGACCTCAGAATTATTCTAAGTAAAAGGATCAAGACACAAGAAATGGATATTGTGTGATGCCATTCATGTAAAAAAGTGCAGAAAATGCTATACTATAAAAAATATATAGCAGCAATTGTCTGGTACCAGTGGTAGAGAGTGGTAGGTAATGTAAAAGCACTTGAGGTAGCTTTTGGGGTGATAAAATAGTCTGTATTTTGGTTGTGGCATTGGTTTCATGGTTATAATAATCTTTTGAAGCTCACTGAATTGCACACATTCATACAGCTTATTTTAGATATACCTTAATAAATTTGATTAATTTTTTTCATTAGGTTTAGAACTCTTACACCTAATTTGTCTCAGTATGCATATAATTCCACTTTCTTCTGGTTTCCATTGTTGCACAGGATAAATTGTCTGTCAGTCTCATTATAATTCCTTTGCATGTGATGTCTATTTTTTCTCTTGCTTTATTTAGGATTTCTCTTTTTCATTGTTTTTTGGAAGTTTCATTATGATGTATATTTCTCTCTTTAATCTTGCTTGATATTTGTGAGGATTCTGAATTTGTGGAGAGGGATCTTCCAGAGATTTTAGGAACTTGAAGTCATTATTCCTTCAAATATTTCCTATATCATTCTTTTTCCTTTCTCATTCTATTAAACTCCTTCACTGGACATGCTTTGGGCACTGTTATCTGTTCCTGTACCTTTAAAGTCATGAAAAATTCCAAAACTTAAAATTACCAAATTTAAGAATTGACTTTCTTTAAGGAATGATCTGTTTTAAATTCTCTTCTTACCTTGTTGCGTTTCTTTCCTCACTTAATTTTTGACATCTAAATATTCCTTACTTTTCTTGCTAGCTAGCTATAGACATTTAAAAAGATTAAAAATATACTTCACTTGGCATTTTAACTTGTTTTTGGTTGGAGGATTAGTTATGAAACCTGGTCTGTACTATCAGAAAATAGAATTGCATGGTACATATCGCTCCATTTAAAAGCTGTATTATGATATATCTATTAATATTTAAATTATTTATTTAACAGTTCCTTAGTCACTGCAAAGCTCAAGGTCTAAAATAGTTTCTACAGGCTGAAAAAAAGTTTATAAACACAAAACACATGAGAAAATCCTGGACAGATTTTGCTTTGATGGTATTGTATAATCTGAGGCTCATTTACAATGAGATTGCAATGAGACCTAAAACATTTTAAATTGAACAGGAGATTACATTGTTAAGAGTCCATTATTTCTTAACAATTCACTTTAGAAAAATGTATCGGCATTTCAAAATGATCTCAGAATTATAAAAAGCAAAATTTGGTAGCTGTAAAGAGAACCTTTTGAGACAGTTGTGATATTGGAAGGAAAACGAACAATTCATTTCTTTTGTCTAGGTTGGTGAAATAATATTTCAGAAATGACAGATCTTACAGATCAAAAGCTTTAACTTTATTATTATTCAACTCGTATCAATGTTAAGCCTGTTATTCAATAGCCCAGTTATTCTTAATATTTTGGAATTTGATACCTAGTTTGACTTTATGATCCATTTTACTTTAACACCTTTGAATTTCAGATCCTGTGGTGATGTTAACCAGGTTTGAGCACTAGCATTCCTAATGTGCATTGAACACCTCCTGTCTTATGCTTATTTATGCCAGTTTTAGCGGTTTTCCAAATCTCTAAGGTAAATTACTGTACTTCTAGCTTATACAATTGATCACACAGACACACAAAAACAAATACGTCAATGAAATACGCATTCACATTTCGGTGCTTATTTTTAGTCCAGAAATATTTATATAAATATTTTAAATGAAATAATTTATATCTCTGTATTATTTTTATTACTGATATCAGTGTCTAAATGTGACTGTTGTTTAATGTTTATTAAGAAGAAGGAGACCTTGAATTTACATCTCATTGTGTATTGTTCTAGAAGAGATTCTTTTTTTGGATAAAATATCTCTTAAGTTGTCACCTTTTCCAATGCATTCTAAAGTTTGTTATTTCTGCATTCATATTTTAGATGCATAATTTTATGTCACGCTATAGTTGTGAAAAAGGATTATTTTATAAGCACTACTTCAAATTTCTAAACAGAATATCAACTGGAACTTTAGAGCAGAGTTGAATTGTGAAAGGAGCATGGACTTATATCAGGCTCTAATTTTAAAAAGTATCCATTAATTTTATAAACATTGCTTTAAATTTCTGAACAAAAAATAATATGGAAGATAGAGAACAATATTGGATATTGTAGAATGAACACAGTTTTGAGGTTTGAGTGTGGCTGTACTCTTCACTGGCTATGTCCACACCAGAAAAAGTATTTTACAAATATTCAATAGCTCAAAGCTAGAATGAGTTGAATATTATCTACCCAACCGAGTTGTAATGCATTTCTATTAAGTACAATATGTATGATGACTATTACATAGGTACTAAAAAATGAGCTTTACTATTTTTGGGTCAACTCTGCAGATTTATTTATTTATCTGCAGCTCAAATTTATTTAATTTGTGGGGCAAGGATTGTAAGACTCTACAACTTATGCTTAAAGCTGTATAATACAGCTGGTGGTTAGAAAATTTAGTGGCAGTTTCTAAAGGTCTGCACTGAGAAATGCTAATTCCAAGGTCTTTCTTTCTTTATTCCATTTACTCCCAGTGGATGACAATCAAGGAACATCATGCAATCCACAGAGCTGTGAGCAATGAGGAAAGGAACCTCTGCAGCTTAGAGGCAGCAGTCTATCACCCTTTTGTCAGAGAACCTTTGTAGAAGAGTCAATGTTTTTTGCCATTTGAAAATCTCTGTTTCTGCAAGATGCCATGCTAGGCACTGTACACAATTAAAATGAGTTCCCATCTCCAAGGAATTTGCAACCATAGACAGCACAGTGAAGACAGGTGTTAACTTGAAGGCTGTACACAAACAGTGAATTCTCAAGTCTCCTCCCCTTCCCTCCCCTAGGCGCTGTGCACAATTAAAATAGCAGAGTTCCCATCTCCAAGGAATTTGCAACCATAGACAGCACAGTGAAGACAGGTGTTAACTTGAAGGCAGCGCACAAACGGTGAATTCTCCCCTCCCCTCCCCTCCCCTCCCCTCCCCTCCCCTCCTTTCCCCTCTGACAGAGTCTCACTCTGTTACCCAGGCTGGAGTGCAGTGGTGAGATCTTGGCTCACTGCAACCTCTGCCTGCAGGGTTCAAACGATTCTTGTGCCTCAGCCTCCCGAGTATTTGGGACTACAGGCAAGTGCCACCACACCCAGCTAATTTTTGTATTATTAGTAAAGACGGGGTTTCACCATGTTGGCCAGGCTTGTCTCGAACTCCTGACCTCAGGTGATCCTCCTGCCTCTGCCTTCCAAAGTGCTGGGATTATAGGCATGAGCCACTGCACCTGGTCAAGATCCTTGTATTTTTAGTATTTTTCTAAGCACCACTGAAACATGATTTCTGTTTGAAGCAGCCCATTATTTTCTGTGAAATAAACCAGAACATTGAAAAGCTATGCAGTAGTCCATATTGATTTTTTTTTTTTTGAGACAGAGCCTCACTCCATCACCCAGGTTGGAGTGCAGTGGCATGATCTCTGCTCACACTGCAGTGTCTGCCCCCTGGGTTCAAGGGAGTCTCCTGCCTCAGCCGCCAAAGTAGCTGAGATTACAGGTACCCACCACTACACCCAGCTAATTTTTGTATTTTTAGTAGAGATGGGGTTTCATGATGTTGGCCAGGCTGGTCTTGAACTCCTGACCTCAAGTGATCCACCTGTCTCAGCCTCCCAAAGTGCTGGGATTACAGGCATGAGGCATCGTGCCTAGCTTGATTTGGTTTGTTCCCCAAATTCCTTTTAAATTTCTTTTGCATCTGCCCCTCCAGTTAATTTCATTGTTGGATGCATATATTTTTGTAATGCAACACATTCTTGTGTTTATTTTAGGGAGGCAATTGAAGTTGTCACCTACTGTACAACACAGTGGCCCTTGTATGAAGATCCAAGACACATATGGAAATTAAAGATTTAATTATCACTCCTTTGGAGGATTTGTTGGCCATCAGCAACTTGGGCTTAACTTGGGTCCAATTTTATAATTTTAGTAAATTATAATAATATTTATGATATCTATAACTATATACTAGTGCTTGGTCTTATTGTTCAGATATAGCTATAGTTTTTCTTGTTTAATTTTTATGTGTTTATTTTTTATTTTGTTGAATTAATTTTGTCTTTCATCGGTATTTGTTAGTTCCTCATTTTTTTGTGTCTTTCTGTGTATGTAAATAGGTAATTCCTCTAAATAACATTTCTTTTGTTATCAACATTCTGTCAGTGCTAGTTTACTCTTTGTATTAATTCCCAACAAATTTTTCAGTTTAATACTCAGGGTAATATTTTTAACATATTAAAAAGAATTAAGGAGGAAGAGAAATTGGAAGTATGTAAAGATGGGAAAGCTTAATAGTTGTAGCTATTTGGGAAGACAGTGATGTGAAGGAAATAATTATTACCTACTTACATAAAATTCAGTATTCCTTATAGTTTTAAAGAGCTAGTCTTTTAAGAAACAATTGCTATTTTTTAAAAAAATAAAAATATTATACATCCCCAAAGAGAAAATTTCTGAGGTTGTAAATCACAATGCTTACAATTGAGTACTTTGTGACTCCCCTAACTTCCTTCCCCACAAATAAGCAATTTTTTTCTACCATTTAGATATTCAAAATATGCTTTGCTTCTGGGGATTGATGAAACTGCCATTTAATTAAAGAATAGTTTTTAAAGCAAATTTCATTTGATCACTTCCCTTAAGCATAATACTTGACTAGTGTGTCCCTCATGGAACTCTTTTAGTATTCTCACTGCTTGAAGAAAATCTTAGCTATAGTTTGAAGTGATCAAAAATTTATTAATATTTATTCATTTTTTAGTTATGTATCATCCTTTTTATCTTTAGAAAAAGGACAAAAATATTCTTAGGTGATCTACCACGTGGGAATGCAGTTAATTACTCTATTGTCTTTGAAATTCTTTTTTTTTTTTTTTTTTGAGACAGAGTTTTGCCCTTGTTGCTCAGGCTGGAGTGTACTGGTGTAATCTCGGCTCACCGCAACCTCTACCTCCCGAGTTCAAGCGATTCTCCTGGCTCAGCCTCCCGAGTAGCTGGGATTACAGGCATGTGCCACCACGCCTGGCTAATTTTGTATTTTTAGTAGAGACGGGGTTTCTCCATGTTGGTCAGGCTGGTCTCCAACTCCTGACCTCAGGTGATTGGCCCGCCTTGGCCTCCCAAAGTGCTGGGATTACAGGCATGAGTCACCACACCTGGCCCAAAATTCTTTATCTGGTGTCCATTCTGTCCAGGTTTTCCCTTACCTCACTGGCTTTCCTTTCTAATTTACCTGCTTGGTACTTAAAAAAAACAAACCAACCCAGAAACCTCCCTAGCCTTTGAAAACTGGAATACTCCTTGGGCGCTTTTCTTCAGACCAGCTCCCTAAGAGACCTTACATGGTCTTGTAGCTTAAAAATATTATGTTGACAACTTCAAAATTTATATCTCCAGGCCTTGCCCCTAAACTGCAGTCTTGTATATGATATTTGCAGCTGGATCTCAAATCTTTCACTCTTTTTTTTTTTTCTTTTGGGACAGAGTCTTGCTCTGTCGCCGAGGCTGGAGTGCAGTGGCGTTATCTCGGCTCACTGCAACCTCCACCTCCCAGGTTCAAGTGATTCTCCTGCCTGAGCCTTCCGAGTAGCTGGGATTACAGGCATGTGCCACCATGACTGGCTAATTGTTTTTGTGTATGTATTTTTAGTAGAGATGGGATTTCACCATGTTGGCCAGGCTGGTCTCAAACTCCTGACCTCAAGTGATCTGGCCACCTCAGCCTCCCAAATTGCTGGAATTACAGGCATGAACCACTACGTTTGGTCAACCCTTCCATTTCTTAAACTTAGTTTCCAATTATTTCCAAAGCTGGATCCTCTCAGAATCTTCCCTAAGTCAGGTAAATGCAGATAGTTGTTCAGGCCAAAAATCTTGGAGTTATCTTCAACTCCACTTTTAATTTCACATCCCAAGTACAATCTGTCAGTCTTCCTATTGGTTCATTTTCAAGATATGTCAAAAATCTGACTGATAACTATTGTTATCACTCTGATCCAAACCACCACTGTATTAGACTTGGATAATTGCAATAGCCTCCTATGTTAGTCATGACACTAACTGCTTAGCAAACAACTCCAAAGTCTCAGAGGTTTAGTGCAATAAATGTTTGTCATTTTCTCACATGACAGTGAGTAGGTGAAGGAGCTCTGATCCACATGGCCATTCAGGGTCCCAGAATTCTTCCGTGTAGTGGATCTACCTTTCTTTACAACATGGAATTAATTACATATTGGATTATCTGCATCTGGCAGAGAGTGTGTATGTGTTTTCTCATAGGCCGGGACTGGAAGTAGAGTAGCATCATTTCTGACTACTTCTTTTTGGCCAGAAGTCAGTTGCATAGTCCTGTCTAGCAAGGGAAACTGGGAAATAGCATGTAGCTATGTATTAAGGGAAGCAATAAAATTATTTGATGAACACATGGCAGTCATGTGATCCTGTTAAAACGTAAGAATCAAATTGGTTTATTGTTTAATACTTTCCAATGTTTTCCTTCTCTCTCTCTGTAAAAAACAAAACAAAACAAAAAAACAAAAAAAGAAACAACTCAACATGTATAGTGGGCTATGGAGCCCTGCATGATCTTTGACTTTATTTCCTAGTTTTCTTCCCCTTGTTCTCTCCTCTCCAGTCAAACTGGTTTCTTTTTAATTTTTTTTTATTTTTAATGTTTGTAGGTACATAGTAGGTGTATATATTTATGGGATCCATGAGCTGTTTTGATACAGGCATGCAATGTGTAACAGTCATATCATGGAAAATGGGGTATCCATCCCCTTAAGCATTTATCCTTTGAGTTATGAACAATCCAATTATACTCTTCATTATTTTAAAATGTACAATTAAATTATTATTGACTATAGTCACCCTGTTTTGCTATCAAATCATAGGTTTTATTCATTCTTTCTATTTTTTTTTTTGTACTCATTAACCATCCCCAGCTGTTCCCCACCCTCCCACTACCCTTCCTAGCCTCTGGTAACCATCATTCTACTCTCTAGCTCCATGACTTCGATTGTTTTGATTTTTAGATCCCACAAGTAAGTGGGAACATGTGATGTTTGTCTTTCTGTGCCTGGCTTATTTCACTTAACATAATGATCTTCTGCTCTATCCATGTTGTTGCAAATGACAGAATCTGGTTGTTTTTTGGTTTGTTTGTTTTACACGCTGGCTTCTACAATGGTCTTTGAATGTGCCAGGCATGCTCCCACCTCAGGGCCTGTACACTGGCTGTTTCTGCTCCCTGTAGTATGTTTCTTCTAGATAGCTGCATGGCTTTCTGCCTCACTATCTTCATATCTTGGTTCAAATACCACTTCTCAGTGAGTTCATGTCTGTTCACCCAAGTTAAAATTGCAACCAGCACTCTCAGTCATTCTTTTTTTTTTTTGAGATGGAGTTTTGCTCTTGTTGCCCAGGCTGGAGTGCAATGGTGCGTTCTTGGCTCACTGCAACCTCCGCCTCCTGGCTTCAAGCTATTCTCCTGCCTCAGCCTCCCAAGTAGCTGGGAGTATAGGCATGCACCACCACACCTGGCTAATTTTGTATTTTTAGTAGAGACGGAGTTGCACTATGTTGGTCAGGCTGGTCTTGAACTCCTGACCTCAAGTGATCCACTGGCCTTGGCCTCCCCAAGTGCTGGGATTACAAGTGTGAGCCACCACACCTGGCCACTCTCAGTAATTGTTATCCTGCTTCTCTGCTTAATTTTTTCTAGGCATTATCATGTTCTGTCATATGATTTATTTATTTTGTGTATCGTTTTTCTCCTCAGACTAGAATGTGAGCTCCAACAAGGTAGGGATTTTGTTTGTTGTGTTCACCACTGTATCCTCTACCCTAGGAATAGTACCTGTCATTTAGTAGGTACTAAATAATAATTATAGTAATAGGATTACAAACTTGTATAATAATGACTTGTCAAGTGAATGAATTCTTTATTCTCAAGAACTTAAAAATCAAGCTAGGAAGAGAGAGAGAGACAACTGTAATGTATCACTACAAGAGAAAGATGTCAAGAGTCATAGAAACAAAGGAAAGACTGATTTGTCTCTGCCTAGAATCCGTCAGATACCTCAATGGGCACAATGTTTATCTGGGCATTGAAGAACGAGACAGTGTCTTCTAGGTTTTGAGGAGAGAGCCTTTCTAGGGAGAAAAATGTCACAAACAAAGGCTTGAAAGCAGGAGTATTGTGACATTTGGGAAACAACTGAGAAATGTGAGGAAACTGGAAATAAATATGTGTGCCTATATTTCAGAATGGGGAAATTAGGTTGAAATACTAAATTAGTCCAAAAGTGTCTAGCACTATAACAAATTTGGATTTCATGCTGCTGGCAGTGGAGAAACTTTGCAGTCCTTAGTAGGATTATGCTGAGTCTAGGTGTATATGTATGAAAAATAGACTTGGTGAAGAGTGCAGGAAGACTGAAGGGCAAGTGGCCTGGAACTCAGGTGAGAGGCTATTCTGATACCCACAACAGAAATGAATACCTGATCTAAAGTAACGTTAGATATGAGTTCTAAATTTCTTTTCAAATAATCAATATGTTAGTGTGTTCAGTTCTTTGCCTTCTACTTTTAAACTTAACTTCCTCATAAAGCAACATTTTTTGATTACCTGCTCTACCTTGACTCATTTCAATCACCTGCTGCAACCTAACTCATTCCGATTACCTGCTCCATCCTGACTCATTCCGATTACCTGCTCCACCCTGACTCATTCTGATTACCTGCTCCACCCTGACCCATTACTTGCTCTGTCATAACCATTTTTCCAGCCAAACCACTCACCCTGTCACTGTCTTTAAATTAGCCAATCTGAATTAGTTTAGCCTGTGTGGTCTAACTCTAGCCAATAGGGGAATGACACAGCAGCAGGGGCCACGTGCATCAGGGATAAGAACCCTTTCCCCTCCCTTGTCCAAGTGTGCGCTCACCGTTGCTCCATCTGTAAGGGCGTACCCTTCTATAGAAGTACCTTGCCTTGCTGAGAATTAAAAAGAAAATTTTATATTCGAGTGCTGTTTCTTTTGTGGCACTGAAACTTTATATATAACAATAAGATATTTAAAAAGGGCTCATATGGATAAATCTAATCTACCTGACCTAAGATATTCAACAAGGGGACATGTGGGGATTATGGGAGCTACAATTCAAGATGAGATTTTGATACAGGAGCTAAAAAGAAATTATTTAAGCAGTTAGTAAGGGTAAGAGATCCTCAGGAAGGCTACCTTTTTAACAAAAAGCAGCCCCTAAATCGTTTCTTTTCTAACAAAGAGCAGACTGAAAAATCAAGCTGCAGAAATGGAAAAGCAAGCTAGAAGCTTGCACTGGTAAATGCCAGCAGCTGTGTCAATAGGAAAAGGCTACCTGGGGGCCAGGCATGTTCACCATGGTGGCTGCATCTTCCCTTTTCTTTATCAACCACGTGTACAGTAAAGAGGCAGGCAGAATGGCACTGACCAGGTAGAGAATCCGCTGGCATAATAAAAGATTGGGATGGGGTGGCTAGCTTCTTTGTGTGCTATGTAAATGGAACACCTGGTCTGACTAATCTTTTGGACCCTATGTAAATCAGACACTGCCTCCTCAAGCCCGCCTATAAAACCCCATACAACCATGGAACAGGAAGACCGACTTGGGAACCCGTCTCTCTCTGCAGGAGAGAGAGCTTTTCTCTTTTCTCTCACCTGCTAATCCTCTGCTCTTAAACTCACTTCTTGTGTGTCCCTGTGCTTGATTTCCTTGGCGTGAGATGACGAACCTCGGGTATTTACCGCACACAATGACGCCACTTCACCATGGGTGGGGACATAGCCAAACAACATCAAAGGAAGAGACTGATGGCTCTCTCTCTTTCTGTGGGGGAGCCTGAAGTTATAGGACACACTCCTCATTATGCGATGCTGCTGAGGAGAACAAGCCCCAAGCTCAGGCTAGCCTGCTAGAAGACAAAACACCATCAAGTTACCCCAGCTGAGGACATTAGATCATTCAGTCCCTAGCTGACCTGCCAGCTGATGAAAGAAGCATGGGCAAGTCCACAGATCAGTGGTGCTTGGTCCAGATAAGCAGAACTTCTCAAAATTCCATAGATTCAAAGTTCTGGAGTAGTTTGTTACTCATCAGTAGTTAATGGATACAAATATCTTAAAAATTTACAATACTTATTAACATAATATTAACAATGAGAAAAGAAATAACGTACATAACCAAAACAACTACAATGAAAAGTGTATAATTCTGTTTGAAAAAAAGATATTCAACAAGGGCTCATATGGACAAATCTAATCAGTCATGAAGATATAATCTAAATTGCTTGCCTGTCTCTAAATGGTAGTGGAAAGAACTCTGTCCAAATGTGGCTACCCTTTAGAACTTAGAGATCATGGGATTATTGGCTTTGGCTTAAATTTAGTATTATACTTCTCCATCCATGTAGAAACTGTTTCTAATACTTTCCATGGCCATTAGAGCAAGGTCTTTAAAGTTTGAATCTCCAGCAGTTTATTGTGAAGATATTATTTCGTGAACAAAAAAAAAAGACATGGACATTTACATGACTAAATGTTGACAAATGGTTTGGTTTTGAATTTGATCCTAATTCGTCAGACCTATTTAGCCTTTCTCAAACAAGCTTCATCATCTACAAATGGTGTATGTCACAACTGACTTTATTCTGTGCAATTTAAAAAGTATTTATTAAATATGATCTTCACATTGTAAGGTACTACAAGCACACAAACATGACTCATATGCAGAGAAAAGCAGTCGAGTCAGTGCCTATCTGTCACTGGACCGTTCCAGTCATCCCCATAATCGAGTGACAATAGTACTTGAGGGCCTTGAAAATAATGCTGAATAGGATTGCTTCTCTGGCAAGAAGACATTCATGCTTATATTAACTTTCTAAATCTGAATTGAATGATTTCCAAAAGATTGTCTTTTAGTTTTTATTGTTCCTAAATGTTCTGCATTTTAAAATTTAGCAGTAATGTGATATTGGATATTCTAAGTTGTGGCTTGTGTATGTGTGTGCTTATGTCATGGGTATGGGGCTGATGAGTAACTAGGCTTTGACCAATTAGGTATTAAGGAATCAAGACCATCCATCAGTTTTTAAGTGACATAATATGCTTATCCTGAGAGATAGTATAAAATCCAGAAAAATTTTTGCTTTTTTTCTTTTTAGTGATAAAATCTGTTTCTTAATAACACTTTCTTTCTTTTCTTTTCTTTTTCTTTTTTTTTTTTGAGATAGAGTCTTGCTCTGTCACTTAGGTGGGAGTACAGTGGTGTGATCTTGGCTCACTGCAACCTCCGTCTCCTGGGTTCAACGGATTCTTCTGCTTCAGCCTCCCAAGTAGCTGGGATTACAGGTGCATACCACCATGCCCAGCTAATTTTTGTATTTTTAGTAGAGATGGGGTTTCAGCATGTTGGCCAAGTTGGTCTCAAACTCCTGACCTCATGTGATTCTCCTGCCTCAGCCTCCCGAGTAGTTGGGATTACAGGCATGCACCACCGTACCTGGCTAAATTTTGTGTTTGTAGTAGAGACAGGGTTTCACCATGTTGGCCAGGATGGTCTCGAACTCCTGACCTCATGTGATCCTCCCACTTTGGCCTCCCAAAGTGCTGGGGTTAGAGGCATGAACCACCACACCTGACCCTCTTTCTTAGTAACACTTTCTCGTTAACCATATCTACATATTAATAGGGAAGAAATCTCAAAGCCCAAGTTTACCAGAAATTGCACATTTAAAACATCTTCTGCTGTAAAACATCATGGTATAAAAACCATGCCCTTTCTTAGCCCTGGGGAAATTGGTGATCTAAAGTGTCTGAGCCTGGATTATAACCCCACTGTGAGTTCATTTCACATTGAGTAGTTGAACTCGATAAAAATATACTTGACTAAATTCTGGGCATTGATGATATTTCATTTTTGTGGGTGTTCTTAGCTTCACTGGACTAAGAAATAACCTTGTTCTGGGAGTGTAAATAACAGTCTTCTCATAGCCGCCTCATCCTTTCTCAGCTTCTGTGCTGGGTTCTCATTCTTCCTCTGGCTTTCCCAGCACAAGCGAAGTACCCTGAAATAAGAAACTTCTTTTGGAATCCTGACCTTAGCCGTCACCATCACCACATAGCAAACTGCTACAGATGTTTCTCCTTTCTTTTTGTCTTTGTATAATCATTACATTGAAGAGGCTTTGCATCCTATTGGGTTCTCACTTTTGGTTTTATTTGGGAGGAAATTATATGGCTTTAGAAAGTTAAGTAGAGTATTTTTTCCCAGTGTTATAAGCCTTCTGAAGAAATATAACAGCATGGGAGGCATACTTACATCATTTTAGAGTAGAGCCTAAACAAATAAAAAAATACTCTCCATAGGAAAATGAAATAGGACATTGTTTAATAGTTGTTACTGTAAGAGAAAATACTGGAGTTTTATATTTTGTGTAAAACATTTTTTTAATTTAATTTTTTTCTTTTCTTTTTTTTTTTTAAGAGACAGGGTCTTGCCCTGTCGTCCAGGCTGGATTGCAATGGGGCTGTCTTGGCTCACTGCAACCTTGACCTCTCAGGCTCAAGTGATCCTCCCACCTCAGCCTCCTGAGTAGCTGGGACCACAGGCATGCACCACCATGCATGGCTAATTTTTGTATTTTCTGTGGAGACGGGGTTTTGCCATATTGTCCAGGTTGGTTTCGAACTCCTGGGCTCAAGCGATTTCATTGCCTTGGCCTCCCAAAGTGCTGGGATTACAGGTGTGAGCCACTGCACCTGGCTTATATTCTGTTTTGAGACAACTTTTGATATTTCCAACAAAAATGGTAACATCACAGCAGCAATCATTTGTGTGGAAGGGTGAGCCGATGATCACCAAGGAAGTTGGTAAGTCCTAATCCAGGCGGGTTCAAGAATTAGGCTGTGATGAGGGTTGAAGCAAATAAATCTGAAGGAGCTTATTAATAAAGCAAAAGATCCTGTAGACTACATGTTATCAGATAGTATTACAATATTCCATGATGGCAAAAAATTTTTTGGTATATAATTTTCTATATAAGATATCTATAATACACAACCCATTCCCAGTGTTCTGTTCCTGAACTGCTGTATTAGAACAGTGCCTGGTGTGTAGTAAGTACTGAATAAAAGCTTTAGTGAATGAATAATTCTTGATACATTTTGGAGGTGATATTTACTGAGCAGTTACTTTGAGCCAGGCACTTTTCTAAGCGCTGATAATATGGTGGAATATACATGTACATGAGTAAAACAATTGGATTTTCATGGGGATTCTTGTTCTTCTTGCCATTGGGATTTATAAGCCATTAAACCATAGGTGGCACTTCTCCAAAAGTGGAGGATGTGTTGGAATCTGATACTTCTTCTTCTTCTTCTTCTTCTTTTTTTTTTTTTTTTTTTTTAGACAGAGTGTTTTTCTTGTCACCCAGGCTGGAGTGCAGTGTGGCATGATCTTGGCTGATTACAACCTCTGCCTCCAGGTTCAAGTAATTCTCCTACCTCAGCCTCCTGAGTAGTGAGTAGCTGGGACTACAGGCGCCCAGCACCATGCCTGGCTAATTTTTGTATTTTTAGTAAAGACAGGGTTTTACCATGTTGGCCAGGCTGGTCTCAAGCTCCTGACCTCAGGTGATCCATGGACCTCAGCCTCCCAAAGTGCTGGGATTACAGGAGTGAGCCACTGTGCCTGACCCTTATTCATTTTTTGGATTTCCTAAGATATGAAATGATATTGTATTAGCTCATTAGAAAGTTAGATTGACATTGTAGATGACATTAATTTGCCATAGATATTCACTCAAAGAATGACAACATATATCCCAAGCTTTTACTTTTAGAAGATTATTATTTAAAAAAAGCCACATGAAATAAATTGTTATTGAAGATATTTACATTTAACAGCTTTCATTATGTTGTTAAATATTCTCAATAAAGTAACTGGCAGGAGCCTTTCTCTCCTGAAAATGAGAAGTGCAATAGGTAATAATCATTTTCTTTCTTTACTTTCCATTTCATGAATAGTTTTACTATTTTTGTGGGAAGCCAAATGTTAAATTTTATATTTAGCTGATCTTCTACCAAGAATTAAAAAAAAATTTCTTTCTGACAGTTTTTAAAGGAAGTATACCTTAAGAGTCCTTAAAAAGTATGTTTTAAAGGTTGCCATGGAAATGGTAAGATTGAGAAAAATAACTATTTGGCTTTTTTTCCTTTGACTTTCTAATGACTTTATAATGAAACTGCGTATTGATTTTATAATGAAGCTACATAACTGATATTTGCAAAGGGATAATATAAGGATGAATCTTTTTACAGCTCTGGAATATAAAGGCTATTTGAAATCTTTCCCATTCCCAACACCTTCTCTTGACCCCCTCTTCTCCCATCAGCTCTTGTCTAATTTCTCTACCTTCCTCACTAGCAAACTTCTTTGAAATGGTTATAAGTACTTTCTGTCTTCTCTTTCTTTACAGAGCCCACTCCATTAGGGCCTCCTTTCCATGCTTCTATTAATACAAGTGTTTCTGTTCCACGTCCTCTGTGTAGCTAAATTCAGGGGCCAATTCCCAGTCCTCATCTTAACTTGACTGAGTAACAGCATTTGACGTCATTGGTTGTTTCCTTCTTTGAAGCTGTGTCCGTGTCTATTCACCACCATAGCCCTCCCTTTTTGTTTTATATGGACCTCATTGGGTGGCTGCTGTGCAATTTTCTCTGCTGGATTCTACTCAGCCTATCATGACCTCAAACATTGCAGTCTTGCAGGGGATAGCCTTTGGATCTTTTCTCTGTCTATATTCAGTCACGTGGTTATCTCATCTTTTTTTAAAAATCAAAATTGGTACATTTTATTTGTGTAAATTATATCTCAATAAAGCTGATACTTTATCAAAGAGTAAACTAAGTCATACATTACTTTAATTTTTAAAATTATCCGTACTTATCCTGTTGAGATATTATTATTATTTATATTTTTTTATTTCCATAGGTTACTGGGGAGCAGGTGGTGTTTGGTTACATGATTGTTCTTTAGTGGTGCTTTGTGAGATTTTGATGCACCCATCACCCGAGCAGCATACACTGCACACAATTTGTAGCCTTTTATCCTAACCCTCTTCCAACCTTTTCCCGCTGAGTCCCCAAAGTCCATTGCATCATTTTTATGCCTTTACATCCTCATAGCTTAGCTCCCACTTACGAGTGAGAAGATAAGATGTTTGGTTTTCCATTCCTGAGTTACTTCACTTAGAGTAATAGGCTCTAATCTCATCCAGGTGGCTGCAAATGCCATTAATTCATTCCTTTTCAAGGCTGAGTAGTATTCTATCGCATATATATGTATATATATATATGTATCTCACAGTTTCTTATATATATCTCACGTATCTCACATATATACATATATATGTATCTCACAGTTTATCTACTCATTGATTGATGGGAATTTGGGTTGGTTCCACGTTTTTGCAGTTGCTGATTGTGCTGCTATAAACATGTGTGCAAGTGTCTTTTTCGTATAATGATATCTATCTATCTATCCATCTATATAATGTATAAAGTACCTTTATTTTTCCTCTGGGTAGATACATCCTGAGTACAGAGATTTGGCTGTCAAAAGTTGCCTACCTTTCTTTTAAAACCTATATTTCAAAATATCAGAAAATCCTGTCAGCTTTTTCTTCAAAATATATCCTAATTTTGAGCTATCAATGATATATTTTTAGTTCAAGGCAGTTTCACTTCTTACTAGGTCTACAGCAATCAGTTTTTATTGTGTTTTTCAGTTTCTTCTCTTGCTTTCCTCACCCTAGGGCCACCAATGGCTTATAGTTTCATTCAGAATGAAACCGAAGTGCTTACCATGACATTTAATGTCCTCTATGAAATGAACTTGACTTATTTCTCTTTCTGCATCTCTTAGCAATCTTCACCTCCCCCATAGTACTTCAGCCACATTTGCTTCTTTGTGATATCATTAGTCATGCTAAGTCTTCTGGGGCTGTGACATATAGGGCTTCTTTTGCCTGAAGCACTTTAACCTGATAACTTGTTAGCACACTCTTACTTCATCCAGGTGTTTTCTCAGTGTCACCTAATCACAGAGTCCTTCCCTGCCCCTCAATCAAAAACATGGGACCTTCCAGCCTTTTCACTACTCATCCTCTTACTCACCTTTATTTTCTTTAAAGCAGCAGTCCCCAACCTTTTTGGGGACCAGTTTCTTGGAAGACAATTTTTCAGTGGATCAGAGAAAGGGGTGGGGTGATGGTTTCAGGATGATTCAAGTGCATTACATTGATTTGTACTTTATTTCTAGTGTTATTACATTGTAACATATAATGAAATAATTATACGACTCACCATAATGTAGAATCAATGAGAGCCCTGAGCTTGTTTTCCTGCAACTAGACCATCCCATCTGGGGGTGAGGGGAGGCAGTGACAGATCATCAGGCATTAGAGTCTCATAAGGAGCCTGCAACCCAGATCCCTTGCATGCACAGGTTACAATAGGGTTCATGCTCCTATGAGAATCTAATGCCACCACTGATCTGACAGGAGGCAGAGCTCAAGCAGTAATGTGAGTGGCCCCAAACAGCTGTAAATACAGATGAAGCTTTGCTCGCTTGCCCACTTCTCACCTCCTGCTGTGTGGCCCTGTTCCTAACTGCTGTGTGGACCAGTACTTGTCTGTGGTGCAGGGGGTTGGAGACCCCTGCTTTAAGTCACCTATCAATATTAATTATCTATTGATTCAGTTGACTGATGGCTACCTTTCTCCAGTGAGAGGTAGCCTCTCTGATAGCAGAGATGTTGGCTTTCTGTTTGAAAGTATATCCTCAGTGTTGGAAGAGTGCCTGACCTGTATATAGCAGGTACTCAACAAATTTTGTTTCCAAAGAATGAATGGAAGAAATAATGAATGGGTTTTAGTGTGTTGGAATGGAAGTGTTTGCCATTCTCACGTATCCATAAAATGCTGGTTGTGGCTCTATGATTAATCAACTTGATGATGCTTCACCCTGGGCATCCCTCATTCCACTGGTGAGCCCATGCAGAGGTAATGGAAGGGTCATTCTAAATGCTTTTTGCTAGAAGAGTATCTTGCTGCTTGGAGTTCTCCTGGGAAACTGATCCACTACTGCTGAGAAATGTGATTACTGTGTAGTTTCCACAGCAACACCATTGATGATCACTCCCACTCCATCAAGAATGGATCAGAGATTGAGCAGGAGCCATACTCTTCGGTCGCTTCTTCGAAAGAGCAGGATTTATTTTCAACTCTATGTAATTATTTGCTGGAACCTCATTTTGCAGAACTGTTATTTTACAGTGGGAGTACTGGGGAAAGGTATTTAAACTGCTCTAAAATAAGGACACATTGGAAGTGTTTTCTCTGTAAGGGAAATTGTCCAAATTTGACTTTTGAGTCAACATTTTTAATGGATATTTAGGGCTTATCAAAATTGCTTGCAGCCCAAATAAAACATCAAGCAGAGGGATACATTTTACTGGTAGAAATTCATGACTTCATTGGATTAAGATTTTATAGTATTTTTGTGTTCTATATCTCTTCAAGTTACAGTTTGACAGAAGTTGCATTAAATCTGCCATTTTCAGATGAATCCTGAAGATGGAGAAATTATAAATAATTTTTATAAATGATAAAGCTATGTTCTTCTTTAGCAGTGAATGCCACAGTCAAAATAAATAAATAATTTAAATGCTTATTTGAGATCAGAATTGCTTTCAGAAAAACATACCATTAAAGCTAATGACAGAAAAGTTATAATGGAATAAATATTACAACAGGAAGATGATTTAAATTCTCCAAAGGAACTTTGTACATTTTAAAATTAATAAAAATTAATGCTATTTGCTATTTCATTCATTGAAAATATTCCATGTTTAGTAGGGAAAATACTAGTTAGACTTTTGGTGATGTATTATAAAATACGATAGGTTAGAATAGCAAAAAAATATTATAAGACTATGTTTTTGAAGAATATAGAGTAATTACAAAAGGAAACCTAGAAGACAACACATTACTGAAACACTGATAATGATGGTGTGTAAAATCAAATTATTTCAAATTTAAAATTACTATAAAATTTAAAAATTTAAATGAAAGAAATGTGAACATTTTGACACATAAATTACATTTAGTTTTCATGTTTTTTCCAGTCCTTATCTAAATCCATATTCATATTTAACAGACATAGTCATAAGGCACATGCAATATTATAGCTATAGTTTTCACTTAAAATCATATATATTTTTATATCTTGCTACATGACCTTTTATGAATATCATTTTTTGTTTGCTTGTTTTTGAGACACAGTCTTGCTCTGTTGCACAGGCTGGAGTGCAATGGCGTGATCTCGGCTCACTGCAACCTCCGACTCCTGGGTTCAAGCGATTGTCCTGCCTCAGCCTCCCGAGTAGCTGGAATTACAGGTGCACGCCACCGTGCCCGTCTAATTTTTGTATTTTTTTTTTTAGTGGAGACAGGGTTTCACTATGTTGGCTAGGCTGGTCTCGAACTCCTGACCTTGTGATCTGCCTGCGTCAGCCTCCCAAAGTGTTGGGATTACAGGCGTAAGACACTGTGCCTGGCCGCGAATATCATTTTTAGTGATCACTTGCTATTTCATTCAGGAGATTGCTGGAATTTGCTTAAACTACTTTTCTAATTCTGTACTCAGTCACTTTCTATTTGCTTTCTGAGTAGGCGCTCAAAATATTTAGTTATAATAAATAACTCCCTATGTGGTATGATTGGAGTAATGACAAAAGAGATTTCTCATTTCAAAGTTTCCATGCTAAGTTATACTGTGGCCTGGATCAGTTAGCATGTTGGTTCCAGCCAAAATATAAAAAATACATTTTGAACAGAGAAGACACAACAATAGGGTTTGAACCTAGGCTCAACTCAGGAGACCAGATCTGGTGGGTTGACATTGAGAAAGGATTTTGAGTAAGGATGGACAACCCCAAGGGTCCGAGGCGACACCTCATTTGCAGTATAAAATCTGTTACTGGACAAGGTGTAAAAATTGTATGATTTTTATGCAGTTTGGTTTTATATAGATGAAAAATTTCTAGATGAAAAGAAACAGCTATAAATATTTTTTTCCTGTCTTTGGGCTGAAAGAAGTTTAAGGAGATGTTACTGATTCACAATGCATATCATAGTGTGGGCAGAAAAATAATAAATTTACCTAATCCTAAATGTACTATAACACAATAACATGACTGTGATACGGTGGTTCAAATCAGTAAAGTCAGAGCTGCACTTGTCAGTTCTGTTGTTTGTCATTAAATCATGAGGAAAATAACAATGACTAGCAAGATTTTAGACACTGATCTATTTTTTCAGATTCTTTCACAGTCCAAATGACCAAGACATCACTGGAACAAGGGTTCATTTAAATTGTAAGGCAGTATACAAGCAGCAATTAAATGATATCTTTTTCCATTAATGGCTGTGTTATAATTTAAAAGAATAATTGTTGTTCACCTATGTCCAGCGGTGGCCATTTATGACCAAAATGATAATACTCAATTTTAAGGATTTAATTAGAGCAATGAAGTAAATTGTAAATTACACAAATTGTAAATCATGTGCATAATTACAGCGGTAATTATGTTCATTTACTCATGTAAAATATTTTTTGAGCTTTTTGTGTGTGTCAGACACTATTTTAGGGAACAAAGTGGTGAATAGAACAAAGTCCTTACCCTCATGGAGTTTGTTTTCTAGTGAAGTGACATAGACACTAAACAAGCAAATACAATACACAATTTCCAGTTTTAAACACACAGTAAAAAATAAAACTAAAAACACCGGAAGAAGACCTGGTTTATATAGGGTGGTCAGAGAAATCTTTCCAAGTTTGAGATATTTGAATCAAGACCTAAAGAGGGGACAGAACCAGCCTGCCATTAAGAGGTAAAAGATGCTCCAGGTGAAAGAATCACATGTGCCAAGGTGTTGTAGAAGCATTCTGGGCATTGCCCAGGGAAAGTGATGAAGCAGATGGGAATGGAGCAGAGTGACTGAGGTTAGGAGTGGTCTGAGAGGAGACAGGGAGGTTGGGCGGCTAGTGGTGCAGATGGTGTAGGAGCTTTAGAACACTTTGATTATTTTGTTTTTTTCACCCAGGGTGAGACAGGAATCCATTACAGGGTTTTGAACAGAGGAAGGACATGCCTGGTTTGTTTTAAAAGATTGACTCTGCTGTGTGGAAAATAGGCAATATCAAGATGAGGAGCAGAAAAAGAGAGGCCTATGAGCAATCTCTATAGAAAAGAGGCAACTGTGGCTTTGACGTGGTGGAAGTGGTCAGATTCAGGATGTATTTAGAAGGACGAGCTGATAGGTCTTCAGACAGTATAGTGTGATGTTAAGTGAAACGGCAAGGACAACTGATGCTTCTGGGCTGAGCATCTGGTAGGCTGAGGTTGCCCTTTGCTGAAATACAGAACAGTGTGGAAGAATCAGTGTGGTATGGGTGCAGCTGGGACCAAGAGCTTGATTTGGGATGTGTGAGTTCATGATGCTTATTAACTATCTAAATGGAGATGTTGCATAGACAGTTTAAGATATATCTAAAGCTCAGAAGTTTGTTCTGGAAATATAAATATTTTAAGTCTGTTCGTAAAGCAAGAGCATCAGTGATATGGTTAGGCTTTGTGTCCCCACCCAAATCTCATCATGATTTATAATCCCAGGAGTTTAGGGAGAGACCTGGTGGGAAGTGGTTGGATTATGGGGGTGGTTTCCCCCATGCTGCTATTGTGATAGTGAGTGAATTCTCATGAGATCTGACAGCTTGATAAGTGGTCGTTTTTCCTGTGCTAACACACACTTGCTCTCTTGCCTGCTGCCATGTAAGACATGCCTTCTTCCCCTTCCGCCATGATTGTTAAGTTTCCTGAGGCCTCCCCAGCCATGTTGAACTCTGAGTCAATTAAACCTCTTTCCTTTGTAAATTACGCAGTCTCGGGAAATTCTTTATAGCAGTGTGAGAATGGACTAATGCGATCAGCAAAGACTGAAACTGAGTAATCATATCCCTGAAATGAAAAATGAACGTCCCAGAGTATTCAGACAGCAGCATATGGCCAACAGGGGACCGTGAATGATGATCCAGCAGATTATAATGGGCAACCCCTTAGACACACTGACCCATCTGTCTGGGAGTGCTTTGTAATCCCCTGTGATTTACTGTACTCACTTATTTTTTAATTTGTTTATTTATCTGATACCTTTTAGCAGGATATAGAAAGGGACCTGTAAGATTATCCTTCCAGACTGGTCAACTGAGGAGCTCAATAAATTGTACTGAATAGAAGTAAGTTCTATGAATCCATAAGACAAATGCAACATAGTCATCCATTTGGATAAAACATTTCTGTATGATATTGATGGCCATTCATTCTTTCACTCACAATTATTTACTGAATGCTTACTATGTATGCTTTTGTGCTCTGTGATGGGGATGGTTCAGTGAACAAAAAAGAAAAAAATTCTATGGAACTTTCATTCTGTAGGGAAGATATAGACAATAAAAATATAAGTAAAATATATATTAGATGGTGGTATTTAGAAAAAACAGACCAGGAAAATGACACTGGCTTTATAATTTTAAATAGGAAAAGGCATTATTAGGAAGGTGACATACGAAGTTTTATTTTTTCTCCCCAAATTTTATTGTCCATGGAACAATCCTCGATAGTTTCTCTACAGGTGTCTGACTACATCCTAGATGAGATTTACAACTAGCCTAAATTCTGTTGTGAATCAGCACCAGCCTCAGCTTTCTTGGTACTAGAGGAAGAAGGGTTTTGTCTGTAGTTATCTGCATCAGCTTCACCTCCAGTGAGTCTTATGGGTCACTCTTCTTCAATCTTTGGGTCATGAGATTTTCAGTGTTGGTACACAATGTTGCAGCTTTTACCATCTATTAGGGTATCACTGGATGCAAGCCATCTCTCTCCTGTTCTAGGATGCTGCAGGTCCAGTTATAGACCAAGACAAGCATCAGAGAAAAAGAGACCATGTGATAGCCTTGCATCAAGCCAATCTTGCATCAGCTTCTTGTAAATAATGCATATCTGTGCAAGACCTCCACTAGGAAGACATTCTAGAACTACAATTATTAGTAAGTGTCAGAAGGATTAGTAGAAATTGGACAGATAAGGCAAATATTTGAAGGCCTAAAGACTCTCTCTCATTTTTTTTTTTTTTTTTTGAGACAGGACCTTACTCTCTCACCCAGGTTCTAGTGCAGTGGTGTGGACACAATTCATTGCAACCTCTGCCTCCTGGGCTCAGGTGATCCTCCCAACACAGCCTCCTGAGTAGCTGGGACTACAGGTGCACATCACCATGCTGGGCTAATTTTTTTGCATTTTTTATAGAGGTGGAGTCTTGCCATATTCCCCAGGCTGGTCTCGAACTCCTGGGCTCAAAGGGATCTGCTTGTCTTGGCCTCCCAAAGTGCTGGGATACAGGCATTAGCCACCATGCCCGGCCTATGAAGACATTTTGAATCTCTCTGTTATCTATATCTGGGTATGTTCTACAATTGCTGAGTTAACTTGGAAAATGACTACCTCACTTTCAACTGCAAACTTCAAAATTTTTGAGTTAGGTATAGTGTTGAATCTTTTGATTGATGGATTTTTCAGCTTTGAAATGTTAAAAAGAAAAAATACCATATTCACCTATTATTTTTCTTCATTTCTAATTTTTGTGGGTATATAATAAGTGTATACATATGGGTATATGGTATATTTTGATAGAGGCATACCATGTATAATAGTCACATCAAAGTAAATGAGATGTCTATCACCTCAAGCATTTATCTTTTGTGTTATAAACATTATTTATGGTAATTAAAACCACCATTGGGGCTGGGCGCAGTGGCTCATGCCTGTAATCCCAGCACTTTGGGAGGCCGAGGTGGGTGGATCACCTGAGGTCAGGTGTTCGACATCAGCCTGGCCAACATGGTGAAACCCTGTTTCTACTAAAAATACCAAAAAAATTAGCCGGGCATAGTGGCAGGAGTTACTCAGGAGGCTGAGACAGGAGCATTGCTTGAATCCAGGAGGCAGAGGTTGCAGTGAGCCGAGATCATGCCATTGCACTCCAGCCTGGGCAACAAGAGCAAAACTATGTCTCAAAAAACAAAAAAACAAAAAACTGTTGTTGGATAAAGTAGAAACATGTATATATACTTATAATATTCATGCACATCTATCTTTCTATCACAACAATAATTAATGTAAAGTATTGTTTTGTTCTTGTTACTCATTGTGCCTAGGAATTTGGTTCACATGTGACTGCTAATGTCAGTGCTGCTGTGATCTCAGGTACACAAAGTAATGAATGAACACTTGGCCTCTGGAGTCCATAGATGGGGCAGAGATCAGTTCCTCACTTGTGTACTGAGTAACTTGGTAGCTAAACTCTTTTAGCATCAGTTTCCTCATCCAGAAAATGGTGATCATAAAATAATTCTCATGAGGCTGTTGGGAGGATTGAATCAAATTAGATAACATAGGTGATGTGCCTCATCTTGTGAGATATATGGAAGGCACTTAGAAAATGGTAGATGGCACAGAATGGTGGGAAGTTAATTGGATCCCAAAGGACTCATACATGTGAACTTGTCCTTCATAACTTATTCTTCAGCATTTCAAGGCTGCTTCAATACAATATACTACTCTATCATTCATCATTTTAGTGACTATCTCTACTTACCTATGTTGTACCAGTTCTTCCATTAATAAAATGAATTCATTTTTAGATATTAAAATTCTCTTTCTGATTGAATGCCATTTCCCAATATCCCCCAAGGCAATGTTTTCAAAAGTTTCCCACAGAATAGTAACACAGACGGAAACACTGCCAATTAAATGCTGTGTGGACAAAAGAAGGTTGAAAAACACTATGTATACTGTCTCTCTTTTGCAGAGTCACAGGCATAACAAGAAATCTTTTAATAAAAATATCAGTTTTTCTTAGTGTAATCTTGTATTTCCCAAGCAATTTTGCTAACTGAATTCTTTTTATTTTTACTTTATTATTATTTTTAACTGGGGGTGAAATACACATAATGTCTTAATCATTTTTAAGTGTACAGTTTAATGGCATTAAGTACATTCATATTGTTGCGCAATCATCACCACCATCCATCTCCAGGACTCTTGATCTTGTAAAACAGAAACTATACCCATTGAATTATAACTTCTCGTTTCTCTCCCCTCACCTCCAGCAACTATGATCGTACTTTCTGGCTCTATCAGTTTGACTGTTCTAGGCACGTCATGTAAGTGGAATCATGCAGTATTTGTCCTTTTGTGACTGGCTTCTTTCACTTAGTATGATGTCCTCAAGGTTCATCTATGTTGTAGCATCTGTCAGAATGTTCTTTCTTTTTAAGGTGGAATAATACTCCCTCGTTTGTATGTACTGCATTTTGTTTATCCATTCACCCATCAATGGGCGCTTGGGTTGCTCCTAACTATTGGCTATCATGAAAAATGCAACAAATGCAACTATGAACATGCGTGTACAAACATCCTATGAAAGAGAACCTGCTTTTAATTTTTTGGGTATATACACAGAGGTAGAATTGCTGCGTCATCTGGTAATTCTGTTTAATATTTTGTAGAACTGCCATACTGCGTTCCATGGTGGCTGTGTCACTTTACATTGCTCTAACAGTGCACAAGAGTTCCAGTTTCTCCAAATCCTTACCAATACTTGTTATTTTGTGTTTGCATCTTTGTTTAATAGTAGCCATCCCAAAGGGTGTAAGGTGTATCTCGTCGTGGTTTTGACGTGCATTTACTTACTAATTAGTGATGTCTAACATGTTTTCATGTACTTCCTGGCCATTTGTGTAATTTCTTTGGAGAAATATCTGTTCAAGTCCTTTGCTTATTTTAAATTTTTTTTTCTTGTTCAGTTGTAGGAGTTACTTATATGTTCTGGATATTTATGATTTGCAGATGACTTTTCCCATTACTTAGATTGCCTTTTTGTTGATTCTGTCCTTTGATGCACAGTAATTTTAAATTTTGATGTAGTCTTGTTTATCTGTATTTCTTTTGTTGCCTGTTTTTGGTGTCATATCTAAAAAATCATTGCCAAATCCAATGTCATCAAGCTTTTCCTTTATGTTTTCTTAGGAGCATTGTAGTTCTAGATTTTATGTTTAGATCTTTGATCCATTTTGAGTTAACTTTTGTCTGTGGTGTAAGGTAAGGGTCCAACTTCATTCCTTTGCATGTGGACATCGCGCTTTCCCTGCATCATTTGTTGAAAAGATTGTTCTTTCCCCATCAAATGGCCTTGGCACCTTTGTCCAAATCATTTGACTATATATGTAAGGGTTTGTTTCTGGGCTCTTTATATGCCTGTCTTTATGGAAATACCACACTGTTTTGATTATGGTAGATTTATAGTAAGTTTTGAAACAGGAATTGTGAAACCTACAACTTCGTTCTTTTCTTTCAAGATTGATTTTTTTATTTGGGGTCTTTTGAGATTCCATATGAATTTTAACATGGTTGTTCCTAATTCTTCAGAAAATCCCATTAGGATTTTGATAGGAATTGCATTAAATTTGTAGATTGCTTTGGGTAGTAATGACATTTTAACAATATTGATTGTTCCAATTCATAAACATGAGTTGTCTTTCACTTGCTGATTGTATTAATCTGTTCTCATGCTGCTAATAAACACACACCTGAGACTGGGTAATTTATAAAGAAAAGAGGTATAATGGACTCACAGTTCCACATGGCTGGGGAGGCCTCACAATCATGGCAGAAAGTGAATGGGGAGCAAAGTCACGTCTTACATGGCAGCAGGCAAGAGAGTGTGTGCGGGGGAACTCCCATTGATAAAACCATCGTATCTCCTGAGACTTATTCACTACCACAAGAACAGTATGGGAGAAACCGCCCCCATGATTCAATTATCTCCACCTGGCCTTGCCCTTGACACATGGGGATTATTACAATTCAAGGTGAGATTTGGGTGGGGACACAGTCAAACCATATCATTAATATCGTCTTTAATTTCTTTCAGTAACATTTTGTTTTCAGTGTACAAGTTTTCACCTGCATAGTTAAGTTTATTACTAAGCATTTTATCCTCTTTTGATTCTATTGTAAATATAATTGTTTTTCTAATATCCTTCTGGGATTGTTCATTGTTAGTGTATAGGAAGCAAAGGATTTCTGTTGAGTTCTTTTTATTCCCACATAATATCTCAACATCCTTTAAAACTGGTGTTCTGAAAAGCACAGTTTACTACTCAAAGCAATAAGCTTTGGAAATACCACTCAAAGGGAGATACTTTTTGTTGTTATTATTGCTGTTGGAAAATCTTTCTTTCAGCTTATTTGCTTTTTCACATCATTTAGAGAGCTTTGTTGATGTCGTTTGTAACATTTATGATGAATCATGTTCTTATTTATTTTGAGGAAAAAGCCCTAGAATATTTGAATAATATCATAGTTGAATAAAAGTTGATTTTTTTTTTTTGAGACAGAGTCTCACTTTGTCACCCAGGCTGGAGTGTAGTGGCACAGTCTCAGCTCACTGCAACCTCTGCCTCCTGGGTTCAAGCAATTCTTAGGCCTCAGCCTCTGGAGTAGCTGAGACTACAGGTAGGCACCACTATGTCCGGCTAATGTTTTTGCATTTTTGGTAGAGACAGGGTTTCACCACATTGCCCAGGCGGGTCTTGAACTCCTGAGCTCAGACAATCCACCCACCTCAGCCTCCCAAAGTGCTAGGATTACAGGCATGAGCCACTGTGCCTGGCCAATAAAAGTTGATTTATTCATCAACCAGATCTCAATATTTACTTGCATTTTATTATTATTATTATTTTTTGAGATGGAGTTTCGCTCTTGATGCCCCAGCTGGAGTGCAATGGCATGATCTCGGCTCACTGCAACCTCCACCTCCTGGGTTCAAGCGATTCTCCTGCCTCAGCCTCCCAAGTAGGTGGGATTACAGGCACCTGCCTCCATGCCCGGCTAGTTTTTGTTATTTTTAGTAGAGATGGGGTTTCACCATGTTGGCCAGCCTGGTCTTGAACTCCTGCCCTCAGGCGATCCACCCGCCTTGGCCTCCCAAAATGCTGGGATTACAGGCATGAGCCACCACTCGCGGCCGTACTTGCATTTTATTAATTCAAGAGTGAAAAGTTCGAATGTGAGTTTTACTGCATGTGAACTATATGACTTTGCACATTGTGCTTAGTAATTCTGCACCTAAGCTTTCTAACCTGTAAGACATAGTAACAACACCAAACACCAAATGTATTTTTGTTATAATCAAAGAAGATTTTATATCTATATATTTATAGATATATTTCATTTTAGGCAGTGTTTTGGATTGAAGATGAACAGTGTGTATTATATTTGTACTTTGCTATGGGTTCTATATGTTCTAAGTTAAAATATTAAAAAACTTTTAAACATTAAATCTCTTAGTTCATGGAAAAATGAAGAAATACATGCAAATGGTAGGGTTTGAAATACCATTAATTTGTTTCTATAATTTAGGCTTGTCAGTATTGCTAGACTTATTAATTTCTTTGACATTGATCAAATGTCTGTTGTTTGAAAGCACAAAAGTCAATTGTATTTTCTGAGTAGGGGCATCAGATGAGAAGTTCCTAAACATGATTTCTGAGAAACATTGAGCAAACTAGTAAGTGAGAAAGAATCAGGTCCTTACTTCTTGGCAGCAGTCTTCCCTTCTCTTCATTATAAAACCCAACTGTTTTTTTTTTAATTTAGGCCTATGTATAATGTAAGAATTAATTCATTGAAAAGGATAAAACACCATTGCTGCACTTCAAATCACTGACTGTAGAGACTAGTAATCCATAGAGATACGACCTGCTATCTTTTCTCTTTCCCTTATTCAAGGTTGTGGAACAGATTTCCCCCAAAGATTGCTATTATTTTTGTCTTTAATCTCAGTCCTTTCATAAGAGTTTAAACTAACTTCTTATTGCTACCTTTGGAGGTGGCATTGCTATTATCTCTGAGGTGATAACGGGCTTTCTGCTGCACAGAATATTGTTGCAGTCATTTCCCAAACGGCTTACCACCTAAGCAGGAAATCCCATTCTAGGGTAAAATATCTTAAATGAGAAACATCACCAGTGCCCGGTTACTTATTCCCTAACTATGGTTAGAAAGAGATTTTAGTTCCTTGAGAAGTCCTTCTGTTATGAGCGGGGGATCAGCACTTGTGTATCTCCTAGAGGTGTCCCTGGTTTTCTGAATGTGTAATCTGGTGTCTGCAGGCAGCTTTGCTCTGTGCTTATGGTCAGTGAGAGGGCTGCATTTAGTATCATCAGTTCACCCTACTTGCCAGAGCCCTCCGTCCCAGCAGTGTTGAGAAATAGCAGTTTTCTCTCTAAAATGACAAATGTTGAAGAATGCATTCATCCTCTCATTCTTTTATTTGTTGATTTACTTATTTGTTTATCAAGATGTGGCCAGGTGTAGTGGCTAATGCCTGTAATCCCAGCACTTTGGGAGGCTGAGGCAGGTGGATCACTTGAGGTCAGGAGTTTGAGATTAGCCTGGCCAACACAGTGAAACCCCATCTCTACTAAAAATACAAAAAAATTAGCTGGATGCTGTGGTGCATGCCTGTAATACCAGCTACTTGGGAGGCTGAGGCAGGAGAATTGCTTGAACCCGGGAGGTGGAGGTTGCAGTGAGCTGAGATAGTGCCACTGCCCTCCAGCCTGGGAGATAGAGTGAGACTAGGATCTCCAGAAACAAACAAACAAAAAGAATGTACAATGTGTAAGGCATTTCTAGGGGTACACAGATGAAAAAACTATCATTTTTGACCTCAAGGAACTGTCTGTTGAGTGGTAATAAATATGTAACTCTCCTACATTGTGAATAGTACCAGCACACACAGGAAAGACAACTGCAAGGTGGTGGGGAGGGAGCTTACGGTTGAGATTGGAAAAGAGCTGAGGAGGGTACTGAGGTGGGAAGACAATGGAGAGAGGCTTTCAGAAGGGAGGGAAGTGTTGCGTCTCCATCCTTGAGGCTGCAGATGATAGAGAATACCTGCCTTTCTGGGACAGTGGAGGGGCCGGAGTGATTGGGGTGGAACTTTCCCCTGCCATTCCAAGGGGCCTGAGGTCAGGGCATGGGCAGAACTCCAAGGTGCCACCTCCACAACAATAAAGTGATTCCTTCCTTCAATCAAACAGACCCAATTACTGGGAGGAAAAAAACCAAGACATTCTAAACCAAGCCGTTTGACAGGAGAAAGTTAAAATAGTCACCATGTCACTGCTGGAGTCAAGCCTCAACCCTCTGACAGGTTTTTAACAGGTGAAATCTATTCCATTAGTAATTCCCTATAGGACACCATGACAGCTGCCTGAGCTCCCAGTTCCCATGTTTGCGCTATTATTTTCCTGAGGCCCCGTTGTTTTCCTTAGGCCCCAGATACAAACTTGGGATAATCAACAAACTAATTTTGTCCCCTTTTTCGTGAACTCCCCAGCAGAGAATTACTCCACTTTTTTCAGCTCCAAGACACTGCCTTATCTGAAAGATGCTAATAGGATGGCATCTGCGTAGACAGGGATCATAAATATTCAGATCAATTCCATGTAGTACTTGTTATGTGCTTAGCTGTGGCTCTGACAAAAGATGAGTAAAACATAGTTGTAATCCTCAGAGAAACAGGGTAATTGTTTGTGGGGGGAAATGAGGAGATGCTAAAAATTAAGCATGAAGGACTCTTATGTTTACAGGAGAATTCTACACCAAAACGCTAAAATTCAGGGAGATACATAGCAAAGGACCCAAATGGGCCCACTAGAGAAGGAATTTTAGTATATATGTGTGGGGTAAGTCAGATCGGTGTGGGTTTGTGGTAATACAGGAAGGCTTTATGAATGAATTGGGACTTGGTCTTTAGGAATGAATAGGAGTTGGGTCGACAGAGTGGTTGGTGAGAGGACATTCCAGAAGGAGAAGCAGGACAGCAGAGTGTTGGGAGAAGGACACGGGCATGAAGCTCAAGGAGAGAAGGACACAGCCTGATTGATTTAAGTGGGGCAGGGAAAGACAATGTTAGGAGTGACATGTTACCACTAAATTATGGGAGGCTATAAAGATGAAATGGTTGCTCTTATTTTTTTTTCCCAGAGAAATTAGAAGCTGTTGAAGTTATTTGAGCAAGAGACTTGTGAATGAATAAATTTACTTATTAATTTCTTGGAAAAAAGGAGTGCTTTAGATGCTGAGAAGCAAGAAGCTAGGGAGACCAGTTGGGAGACTGATTTAGCAGCTTTAGGGGAATGAAATATTCTTGGATTCAAGTTGTGGCAATGAGGACAGAAATGATTAGAAAAAAATAACATAAGCCTGGACAACATGGTGAAACCTGTCTCTACAAAAAATACAAAAATTTCAGCCTGTCACCAAAAACAAAAAACAAAACAAAACAAAAAACCCAAAACATAGCACTATGATGTGCCAGATGCTTTTCTGTCTTTTACCATAATTATATTACTTATTTACTCCTTGGAAAAACTCTTAATGAGGTATGTAAAATGTAATCGTTCCCATATTGGTGTAATTGTACATACCTCACCCATTTTATAGATCGGAAAACTGAGGCAATGAGCAGTTGTGTAACTTTTCCGTGGCATGTGGCACAGCCTCGATCCAATCAGGCAAACTGATGACACAGTCTGTACTGTTAAAACTGCTAAATCCTTTTGCCTCTGGGATGGGTAAAGGGGCTGTTTATGAAGAAACACAGATAATATTTGGAAAATCTATAATGTATGGGAAGACAGGCAGCATCACTCTCTGGATAGCTTTTAACTGTTTTTTCTTTAACATATTGTGTTATTTGAATTAAAGATATATAATATACTTTTAAAATAGAATGATGGGAGATAAATTTAAAAATTTCTGTGATTTGATTTTAAAGGAGTAGAGAAAACTTAAATCTGTTTATTCAAATGCTTCTAAAATGATAGGTTTTTATATTTTCTAGGAATAACTTGTGCATCTTGAGGTGTTGATTTGTCAGAAATGCAATTTGGAATTGTAAGTGTAAATGATTGATTTATACTATGTCTTGAACCCATATGAGGCCTTCTGTTCATAACACATTAGTTGATGGTAGGATTTGTAGCAAAATCCACACATTTTCCTTATATGGTGGGCAATTTGCCAGAAAGCTTTTGGGTAACTTGCTAATGTGCCAATAAATAGCCTGTTTTTAGCTCCGCTATCTTAAGAATACTCCATTCTTATATTTGAAGACATAAAAAGACTATAGGGAAGAGGATTTTTATCACTTCCTCAGTTCTTACTCTTTATTTAAGTGGGGAATTACATTTCTAAAGAAAAGACAATCTCTCATTCGGCGTTGGTTACTAAGTATGTCGTTTTCGTCTTTCTTTGGGGGAAAATTTTAAGTTGTTTTATAAAAATTCTAATAGTTTTATTAGATTACAAACCAACCCTGGAAGAACATTTCCATTAATATAATATTTGACTGGATTTGTGTTTCTGAGCTTAATGATGGGAGAGAGAAGATATTAAAGATCTCAAAATGAATGTTTGAAAACATTTTACTGGTCTTGTCCTTATTATAATTTCTTTTTAACTTTGTTCTGGTTTAAAGCACATTTTATTTCAAACAAGGTGGATACATAGGAGTAAACTTTTATTTGATAAATTTTTAAAGAAGAACGGAGAATAGTCATTAAAGTGTAATAGATCAGGATAACTTTTATTTTTAAGAGAATTGAAATTTTCTTTGTTATACAGATAATTTTGGACATGTTGGGTATTTTAGTGCAAAGATTCAAGCTCTTTCTTACATTTGTGGTTATTTGCAAAACAGGAGAAGAATATTCAAGGCTCCTGATGAAAGAAGCCTGTCTTTTCAGGAAAAACACTTCTCTTTCCAGGCATTTTCAGAATTTGCTTTGGAAATTTTGTTGGTCATTTAATTCTTGTTCGTGTTATCTAATGTAATCGAGTTATTTCATTTCCATGCAGGAATATGTGGCTTAATAAACCATTTGTAACAACACTTAGAATTTCTAAGTGAAAGACTTTAGTGTTCCTATATGTAAACACAACAGGCAAGTTAACTTCAGAATTGCTAGGAGATAAAACACCAGACTAATTTTTGTGAAGTCTTGACTCACTAGATTTACCTAAAGGAAGGAAAAAGAAAAAGAAATAAAACCGAAATGAAAAGATCTGTTTGTCTTCAAATGATATTACTCAAGCAGTAATATCATCTGATATTTACTCAAGCAGTGATTGCTGTGATTTAAGTTGCAAGTTTTGTGACGTGTAAATAAAATCAGATTTATGATAGCAAAAATATAGTCTGATAAGTTGCTGTGTATATTGATGACCTTCTAGTCATTGTAGATCTTAGGATAAGGAATATAGTTTCTCCATATGCATATTATTTCAATATTAACATGATAGGAAAATGCAGAAGTTTAGTTATGACCTAGTGCCAAAGTTGTACAGGCCTGCATGAGTTGGTAAAAAGAAAGTACACTGGGAGGAAAAGTAATAAATGAACATTTAAATTATATTTCCAATTATAAAAACAACACAGTGGCAATATCAACAACATGAAAGTACAGAGAAGCAGAAAGATGGAAGAAAAACTACCTATAACTCACAACCTGGAAACAACTATTGTTAACTGTATTATATTTCCTTCCAGAATTCTTTATTCTGCCATATGAATACAACTGATTGGAATCATATTTAATTATATATTTTTCTTTATTTGTTTTTCACTTAACATTGTATCAGGACCATATCATTAAAATTTTTTGAACATTTAATTTTTAATAGCTGCAAAATAATCAGGATATAATGTGTTATAATTTATTTAATTACTTCTTTATTTGGACATTTGGTTCAATTTCCACTTCATCTTTGTTACAAATAATGGGTAATGACCATCTAGATATATACATTTTTGTCATCTTCACCTCATTGTTTCCTCTGAGTTGATTTCTAGAATTGGAACTACTGGGTTATTTATTCATTTAATCATTCTGTTACGGTAGGTAGCTAGTCAGGCATGAGCAGGGCAGGAGAGGCCCCCCACCCCCACCAGGAATGTCAGGTGACCATCAGGCGGTGGTCAGACTGTTGTTACACTAGTTCTCTAAAATAATTGGTCACAGCTGGTGTCAGGGAAAGGCAGCCTCCTAATAGATAGAAAACACCTGAAACTGGTGATCAGCAGGTTCCCAGTAAGATCTAAGGATTTGGGTGAGTGGGCACAGGCATGCCCATTAAGAGGCCAAATAGCAGCAGTTAATTGGTATATGGCCTCCTAAGTATATTTGACTGGTAAGGGAAGAACACTTCAAGTGAGCGTGCATGTAACTCCAGTAAAGACACTGCGCATGTTCACCTCTCAAGTGCTAGCAGGCCATTGCGCATGCGGACAGCCCACCTCCAGGGAAGAATCAGAGGAGAAGGGACGGAAGGCCTCGGAAGTATGCCAACATATAAAACCCTACCTCAAAGGTCAAATGGGGCACTTGATCTCTCAACTCGCCTGCTTTGTCTTCTTCCGAGTGTTCTTTCCTTCCTTTCATTCCTGTTCTAAAGATTTTTAATAAACTTTCACTTCTGCTCTAAAACTTGCCTCGGCCTCTCCTTTTTGCCTTATCCCTCTCAGTTGAACTCTTCTGAGGAGGCAAGAATTGAGGTTGCCTCGGACCCGTATGGATTCATGGCTGGTAACAATTCCTGCGACAAAAACATTTTCGAATGCTAACTTTGCGCTATAAAACATTTTTTCCAGTTCAGCTGTTTTTAAAGTTTATTCACAAAGTTATGCAACCATCACCACTATCTAATTTTAAACATTTTCAAGTCCTCAGAAATACATTCTGCTGCCTCCCTTCTCCATACCCATTCAAGTGTCACTGTCCATTCTGCCTTTTCCTCATCCCCTGTAAACCACAGAAACCATGAGCTTTCCATTTCTAGAATCTGCCTACCCTGGAGATTTTATATATATATGTGCAATAAAACGTTTTTAAGTCTTTTGATACAAGGTGTAAAATTGCTATCCAAAGTGACTCTGCCAACTTTTTGATGCTTATGCCAAACATAACTACCTCTTGGTGTTTCTGCCCTCATGTAGTCCTTTTCCTAATGAATAGCATCAACCTATGTAAACCAACATGTGGTTACAGAAACACAGACTGGTCATAAAGGCGATGATGGCATCTGCTTTGCTTCCTCTTAGATCTCCTGCCCTGGGAGAAGCCAGCTGCCATATCATGAGAACGTGTAAGCATCCTTGAGGAGCGGTCCATGTGGTAAGTGAGGTACAGAAGGCTCCTGCCAAGAGCCAGCAGGGTCTTGAGTTCTCCAGTCAACAACTGTAAGCGTGAGCCATTTTGCAAACAGATCCTTCATTCCTCACCCAGCTTTCCAGTGACTGCAGCCCTGGCCAACCTCTTGATGGCCTCCTCATGAGAGCTGATGAGCCAGGACCACCCAGTGAAGCCATTCCTGGATTCGTGTCCTGCAGACACGGTAAGATAATAAATATTTAATTTGCTACATTTGGGGGGTAATTTGTTACACATCAATAGATAACTAATACTCATTCCTATCAGCATTTGTAATAGAATTCTTGCTGATGTTGTCATTTTTTCAGTTATTTTGGCAGATAAAAATCATCTTATTGTTTTACTTTGCACATTTTGGTTAATAGTTTTCTCATGTTTATTAATCATTTTTTTCTTCTTCCAATGGTGATTTACATTTATCCATTTTTCTGTCAGGGTTTCAGTTTTTATTCCTTTAGGATTTGCATTTCTGCTAAAAACTAATACAAAAGCAAAGTTATCAATAGGGGCCATGAAGAAGCCTCAGAAATGCACAATTCATAGATTTTCTTAGATTCACAAAGTGACAAGATTTGGGCAACAAATTATGCTTAAAGATGATGTTTGGCATTTCACCTGGTAATATTTGCTTCTTTGGTAACTGAAGCAAAATGTGGAAGATTTTGTATTCCAAAAATGCCACAGCAGCATTTCCCAACCTGCACCATGAGTTTAACACTCTTCCCACTAAGTGCTAGGGTCAAGAGTGGCCTTGAATCTGGATGGGCTAGGGACTGTGCAGCCAGGCCATGTGACTTTTGAAGGGGAATCATAGAAGATGCTATAGCTCCTGCCTGGATTTTTTTTTTTTTTTTTTGATGCTCATTCTTAGAGCTCAGATACCCCGATGTGAGGAAATGCAAATTAGCCCACTTTAAGAGGGCACTTTGAGCGTCTACTGTAGGTTTTCAGCCAACTGCCCAGCTGAGGTTCTAGTCAACAACCAGCACCAATGGCCAAATATGCAAGTGAAGTTGCCTCTGCATGATTCTGGCTCCAAGGAATTGAGTCACCTCCAACCTTCTAGTCTTTCCAGCTGAGGTTGTAAATTTCTTGGAGCAGAAACAGCCAAGTGCACTCTGCTTTGTCTGAATTCCTGACCTAAAGAACCTGTGCATGATATAATCATGTTGCTTTATGCTTTTAAGTTTTAGGTAGTTTGTTATATAGCAATAGGAATTGGAACAGCTACCATATAAGGAAAAGTAGATTGGTTAGACATTTTATTATTGTTTAAATTTTTTCTTTGTATTTCTATACAATGTCTATACAAATGGTTAGGTATTTTTAATCCACGTTTTAGGATGCTCAGGACATACAGGCAAAGAGAGAGGGGAGTGGTGTTTTCAGGATGTATTAATTGGGGCTTTCTATTGAAACAGAGCCAATACGATGGAGATATATGCGTGTGTGTGTATATCTCTATACATATATAAATATAACATTTATATATAAAATTATATTAAATTATTATATATAATTTATTATATACAATATATTTCATATAATTATATTTATAAATATATAATATATAAATTATATATTATAAATTATATAAATTATATAATTTAATATATATACATTATATGTATTAAAATTTTAAACAATAATAAAATGTGTAACCAATCTACTTTTCCTTATATGGTAGCTGTTCCAATTCCAGTTGCTACATAACAAACCACCCAATATATAATATATATATATATATGAAATTGGCTTATGCAATTGCAAGGCTGGTATGTCCCACTATCTGCCATCTGCAAAGTGGAGAACAAAGAAAGTATTTGGTATAATTCAATCTGATTCTGAAGGCTTGAGAAACAGAGGATGGGAAGGGTTGGGTAGGGTGCTGGTATAAGTCCTGAGTCAGAAGGCCTGAGATGTCCGAGGGCAAGAGAAGATGAATGTTCCAGCTCAAGAAGACAGAGGACTCACCTTTCCTCCACATTTTAATTCTTTTCAGGCTCTGACTGTTCAGGCATTGAATGGTGCCCACCCTCATTGGTGAGGGCAGATCTTTTTTACACAGTCTGCTGATTCTAATGATAGTCTCTTTTGGAAACACACTCACAGATGCGCGGAGAAATAATGTTTTGCCAGCTATCTGGGCATCCCTTAGCTCAGTCAAGTTGGCACATAATATTAACCATCACATATGATTTCCTAATGTTAGTATTAGTCCGCTAGTGGATTCTTTCCATACTTTTTCAAAGTTATAACTGGTGATAAAAACATAATGGAGACATTTTACAGTTAATCATTTATTCATAAATATATATTGAGATATTTTAGTAGGTGCTGGGATTAGACTAGATATTGAGGGTTCAATAGTGAGCAAAAACCAGGCACGGATTCCACTTGCATGGAGATTACAGGCCAGTGCAGGGTAGACATTAATCAAGTAATCCTGCATACATATAAAACTTAACAACTGGGAATACCAGATGAAGGAGGTCATAACAGTTTTCTGAGAGCAAGAACGCACTGATTGTGGTCAGGAAAACTTGTCTGAAGAACTGGTATTTGAGTTGAGAGCTGAAGGATGAGTAATTGTATTTAGCTATACTTAGGTTTTCTTTTTATGTAGTATCTAGTTTTTAATTTGTTCATTCACTTTCTACCATTTAATTATACACTGCTTTAGGCCAGAAAATGGCCTTTCTGTTTCACTTGAATAACTTTATAGAGCATATTTATGCTCATAGTCCTGCTTAGCCTTCTGCAAATTACTTATAGGAACATGTTGGGCTTGAGAGTAATTTAACTTAGGCTTTCATTTCTGTAATTGTTTTACAATGCTGCTTTTATATCACTCACCTACAGGGTTTAGTTGAGATCTCTGTATCATTTGCACAAAGCTGTTCCGATGAGCATGGTACCCATGGGTTTAGATACTGATCTGCGGTGGAGATTCAGTTGGCTGATGAGCCATGCATTGACTTGGCAAAATGATGGGTTATTTTTACTGATGACATTAGTGACTCCTGTACTGTTAAGTTACAAGAACATTTAATGGTTATTAATTGGCAAGATAAACTAGTAGCAGTTTATGAAGATTGGCAGAACAGATTTTGTTTCTACTGATAATGTAAGAATGGAAAGAAAATGATAGAAAGGTAGGATCCAAGATCCTCTAAATCTCTAAAGCTCATCTGACAACTTAACTGCCTTAAGATTCTCAGTATTTTATAACGGAATTTCTACAAAGGGGTTGTAACTATAAAGGAGTCTTTCGGCGGACCCAGACTTGGAGGGTCTGCTGGAACTCAGGATGGTTATGCAAGGACTGAACATGAGGCAGAACACCATGCTTTCTCTAATTTAGTCAAACACTGATATTCCATCAGGGTTGTAAAGAGCAGATATTCTGAGATGAGCATCTCTCTAGAATTTATCTCTGGTTTAAGGCCTCCTTCCTTTTGAGGGGCCTACTAATTTTGGTATTGAGCTTCTTCTACACTTGCTGAGCCACAGCCCATTTATCTTTTTGTTGGAGACTTAGCTAAGGGTTGGGCAGTCATTGAAGTGGACCAGGTGGTAGCAGAAGATGTGATCTTTTCATGTTAGGGACCAAGAGATGCTGCTAAAGGGGCAATATTTTTGGTGTTTGTTCTGATTTGTGTCAGGGACAAGTGGATGGCTCAATTGTCTTTGTAGTAGTTTGGGTTAAATTAGAGCTATTTCTTTCACTTGAAGTTAACTTACCACTCTGATTAGCTGTATGGCCAGGAAAAAATGCAATCATTTCAGAAACTTGGCAGAGGACACCTTAGCTACAAGAAAAGATTATGAGTCTTTAGCCCATGGTGATGTGATTTGAGAAGTCATGGAGCCAAAAGTCTTAGAATAGGGTTTCTCTTTAGATAAACTTAAGGAAAAGACCGATTGCTCTATGCTCATGGCAACCATTAAACTAACAAAATTGGTTCTAAACCTGTTTAATCATCCAATGACAGTTCAATAGCCATAGTATGAAGTATTAACTGGATGTAGTTTCAAACCTCTTTAGTGGACTAATGACAAATTGCTTCAGTTTAACAGACACCTGGAAGCCAACCATGAATGATATAGCCTCTCACTTTTTTTTCAACTTTTATTTTAGGCTTAGGAGATACATAAACAGGTTTATGACATGGGTAGATTGTGTGTTGTGGGGGTTTGCTGTACAGATTATTTTATCACCCAGGAAATAAGCATAGTACCTGATAGGTAGTTTTTCCATCTTCACCCTCCTCTCTTCCTCCCCCCTCTCCCAGTCTTCACCCACAAGTAGGCTCCAATGTCTGTCGTTCCCTTCTTTGTGTTCATAGTGTTCTCAATGTTTAGCTCCCACTTATAAGTGAGAATATGTGGTTTTCTGTTCTTGCATTAATGAGATTAGGATAATGTCCTTCAGCTCCATCCATGTTGCTGCAAAGGACATGATTTTGTTATTTCTTATGGCTGAGTAGTATTCCATGGTGTATATATGCCACATTTGCTTTATTCAGTCCATCACTGATAGGCATCTAGATTGATTCCATGTTTTTGCTATTGTGAATAATGCTGCGATGAACATATGACATGCATGTGTCTTTATGGTGCAATGATTTATATTCTTTGGGGTATATACCCAGTAATGGGATTGCTGGGTCACATGGTAGTTCTGTTTTAAGTTCTTTGAAATTCTCAAACTGCCTTCCAATCTCTAAACTACTTTTTTTCATTGATGAGCTAATTTGCATTCCCATCAGCAGTGTGTCAGCATTCATTTTTCTTTGCAGCCTGGCCAGAATCTGCTACTTTTTGACTTTTTAATAATAGTCATTCTGACTAGTAGGAGATGGTATCTTACTGTGTTTTTATTTGCATTTCTCTAATGATTAGTGTTGAGCACTTTTTCATATGCTTTTTGACCACATGCATGTCTTCTTTTGAGAAGTATCTATTCATGTCGATTGCCCATTTTGTAATGCGGTTGTTTGTTTTTTGCTTGTGATTTGTTTAAGTCCCTTATAGATTCGGATATTAGACATTTGTTGGATGCATAGTTTGCAAATATTTTCTCCTATTCTGTAGGTTTTCTGTTTACTCTGTTGATAGTTTCTTTTGCTGTGCAGAAGCTCTTTAGTTTAATTAGGTCCCACATGTCAACTTTTGTATTCGTTGCACTTGTTTTTGAAGACTTACTCATAAATTCTTTGCCAAGGCCAGTGTCCAAAATGGTATTTCCTAGCTTCTCTTCTAGGGCTTTTAAAAAAAGAGTTTTAGGTTTTACATTTAAGTCTTTAATCCATCTTGAGTTGATTTTTTATGTGAAAGGAAAGGGTGGTTCAATTTCAATCTTCTGCATATGGCTAGCTGGTTATCTCGGCACCATTTATTGAATAGAAGTCTTTTCCCCATTGCTTGCTTGTGTCAACTTTGTTGAAAATCAGATGGTTGTAGGTGGGCAACTTTATTTCTGGGTTCTCTAGCCTGTTCCGTTGGTCTATGTTTTTGTTTTTATACCATACCATGCTGTTTTGGTTACTGTAGCCTTATAGTATAGTTTGAAGTCAGGTACTGTAATGCCTCCAGCTTTGCTCTTTTTGTTTAGGATTGTTTTGGCTGTTCTGGCTCTTTTTTGGTTCCATATGAATTTTAGAATAGTTTGTTTTCTAATTCTGTTGAAAAATGATGTTGGCAGTTTGATAGGAATAGCGTTGAATCTGTAAGTTGCTTTGTGCAGTATGACCATTTTAACATTATTGATTCTTCTTATCCATCAGCATGGAATGTTTTTCCATTTGTTTGTGTCATCTCTGATTTCTTTGAGCGGTGTTTTCTAATTCTCATTGTAGAGATTTTTTACCCCTTTGGTAAGCTTTATTACTAGGTATTATATTCTGAAACTTTGCTAAGTTGTTTATCAGTTCTAGGAGCCTATGGACAGAGATGATAAGGTTTTCTAGGTGTAGAATTATATCTCTCTGAAAAGAGATAGATGGACTTCCTCTCTTTCTATGTGGATGACTTTTATTTCTTTCTCTTGCTTCATTGCTCTGGATAGCCTCACACTTTGAAAGTGAGACAATTGGTGGTGGACTGATTGGGCCGATTGGAAGTCAATATTTTCATCAATCTGTGTTCTATGAGCACTACTTCTCTTAGACCTTGAAAAGCCCTTACAAATTGCATTTTTATATTTCTGTTCTGTTTTTAGCATTGGATGTTTATAGTTCAGTGTTTAAAGCACTCAATACATATTTATGTATTTTTATTTTATTTTTAGACGAGTGTTTAGTTGACATTCACCTGAGCTGCTTTACAGAAGTCTCTAGGTGCTGCTAAGGAAGAGTAATGACTCAGGAACCATTGAAGCCCCATTGCAGCTGGATATTGGTAGAAGTCAGAATGTAGAATGATAAAAATGTGGAACAGAGATAGAGACTACAGACATAAAGGGATAGAAACATCTAAGTTCAGTGAATGCATAAATATTAACTTCAAGACAGCATAGATATTATTTATTGGCCCTAAAACATTCCAAAATTTATAGTTTTATAATAAATTCACTATGATTCTAAAAGTTAAGGATTGCTTCAAACCTCTGTTCACAGATATGTTAACTCCAGAAACAGAGACATATTTCTGGTTAAACTCCACAGATTATCACAGGTAACAGCCAGATAAATATACTGTATATATTTTTCATTGTCTTTGTCCCCACCGCCACTTGCCCACTTTTTTAGTTTTGATTCTCTTTAACTCCCAGCACTTATGGAATACATTTTTAGAAAAAGACCATTGCATGGAACACTGAACATATAAACCCCTTTAGAATCTGGCTTCTGTTTTTCTGCCCTAATCTCTTTCCATTCCCACTCCAAACACAGAGACACACACATGCACACAAACACACGTACCAAAATATTAATCGTCATCTCAGCATGCTAAAGCCTGCGTTTGTATCCATAGTCCTGCATTTTCTTTGCTGGGAAGGCCTTCTCAGAGTTGTACAAATCCTCATCCTATAAACCTCAGTTTGGAGAGGGCTTTGAAATAAATCTGTTTTCATCCTAGGAAAGGAGTTGATTATTTCAAAGGCTCGTTTGCATCTAAACAACTTCTAGCACTTACCACGAAGAATTGTAGTTATTTTCTTACATGTCAACAGACTCCAGAGAGGAAAAGCTCAAATTTTATTATTATTATTATTTGTATTCTGAATCTTAGAATCAAAGAAGACTTATAGGTAATGTTTGAATGAATATAAAGAATTCTTTCCAGTTGGTAGTACAGAAAACAATGCATTACATCTAGTAAATAATTAATTGATCCGTTTTGTATGGCCAATAGATGAAAAGCTTCTATTTTGGCTATATCTCCTGAAGTGTAAGTGGTCTTTTAAAAATGTAATCATAGTGAATGAAAATTGTTAAGAAGAACTCTACCTATCCTAGTTTACAAATGTGGCATCATGATGATAGAAATTATACCAAACTTCAACATTTTTTTGGGTGGAATTTGTTCTTTATGATTGTCCCATTTGATAGTTTTTTAAAAATTCCACAAATCTGAACAAGGCATGTCTGTTCATGGCATTAGTTGCATTAAGTTTTACTAAACATGTTCTTTCCCGGAATAGAATCTCAGGTAAAATAGCACTTCCCATCAGAGCTTCCCAGCCTCTGGTAAGCGTAGGAGTTGTTTGCTAAGCCTGTTTTCCCGAGATGTGTGCTAATGTTTTCTCTTACTCAGAGCTTCCATTAGCAGGCTTTTAAGACCCCTCCAATCAACCTCTAACAAGGCTGATGCTCAGATAAATGTAAGTGAAGGAAAAAGAAAAAGTGTATATACATACACACACACATATATGTATATGTATATACACTCACGAAAAGTTTCAGAAAAATAATTAGTGTTTACTTTGAGGTTTTCACTTTGAAAGCATCCTTTTAGAAGCAGATCTGTAGATCATTAGGAAGACTTCTGAATAACACAATAGTAGATAACTCTAGTGAAAAAGAGTTATTTCTTTCTGAGTTAGTTTTGAATATAAGGTCAAAATGTATCATTTCAGGGCTAGAGCTATATTTAGGTTATTTGGGCTAAACTCATTTATAGGCAGGATTAATTCACACCAGGAAGGCTGGGAAGTATTGTTAGAAAATGTCAGGAAGGAACTGTTTTTACTGTGGGATAGGTTTCTGCTTGATGCAGAGACGTCCGGGCTTTTATAACATTATACCACAAAGGTCAAGGCAGTACTCAGGATCAACAAGCAGCCCTTTAGGGTCAGTTTCTTCAAAGGCTTGGATTTCACTCCCACTCAAAGTGGTAAACTGATAAATGTGGAGTCTGGGTAAAGAGATTGGCTGGATCAGCAAATGTATTATCGCTGAAACCAAAACACAACATGACAAACAGCAAACAAAAACCAAAATCAAAGCCAGTATTAAGCCAAGTCCCATCCCCTCCCTTAAAAAAATTAACATTTAAGGAGGACAGGCCAGTATCTTCCTAGTAGATAAAAAGTAGTATATTAAAAGAATTAAGTTCTTGCTTTCATAACCCCTAGGTTCAGCCTTTCATTAAAAAACCGATAACCTTAATTTGAATTAGCAAGTCTGTAATAGAAAGAACTGTCTATGGTAGTATTAGGGACCTGATGTTTTGAGCTCTATGTGCCAAAATTAGCTGTGTCACCTTGGGCATGACCTTGCCTTCAGATTTTTTTTTTTTTAAACTAAGAAAATTTAATTAGATGAACTAAAAAGTCTCGTCTGGCTCTGGTGTTAAGAAGGATTTCTGAGGAAGGATGATTAAATTTGGAAGCATAGGTCTGGGGTGCCAACTGATACTATATTAGGACATTTCCTGGAGCTGAAAGGTGCTGGAAATTTTAATTATTCATCAGGCATGACGCAACTTTCAGTTGATTTCTGGGTTGAGGGCTGAAACAATTGAAATTGTTCTCCAAGAGATCTTGGCTCTGTTTGTGAAAACTCCTCCAGCAGGCCTCCCCCATAGTTATATTTCAAGTCAGGAATCTTCTCTTATCTTCTCTTCTCTTCTCTTTTTTCTTCCTTTTTTTTTTTTTTTTTTTGAGACAGAGTCTTGCTCTGTCTCCCAGGCTGGAGTGCAGTGGTGCGTTCTGGGCTCACTGCAAACTCCACCTCCCAGGTTCAAGCGATTATCCTGCCTCAGCCTCCCGAGTAGCTGGGATTTCAGGTGTGCACCACCACACCCTGCTAATTTTTGTATTTTTAGTAGAGACGAGGTTTCACCATGTTGGCCAGGCTGCTCTCAAACTCCTGACTTAAGGTGATCCACTTGCCTTGGCCTCCCAAATTGCTGGGATTACAGACGTGAGCTGCTGTGCCCGGCCAGGAATGTCACTTTTCATATTAAGATATCTTTTTATTCCTTCTTCTCCATTAATATGGTCATTAGCTAGTATAGAAGTTTTCAAACTTTATTGTGCAATTGTATTACTTAAAATACAGATTCCTGTATTCCACCACTAAGGAGTCCCCAGCTCTGAGTTGGGTCAAAGGAATATGCATTTCTAGCAAGCTACCAAAGGGAATGGGCCACACTTGGACAAACTGATCCCAGAGACCATGGTTCCTCTTACCTTCAACCATGTACCTTCCAGTCCCTTGCTATCTTCTGCTGTCTTGAATCAGAACAACTCAAGCAGCAGCAACTTACTTTTTTTTTTTTTTTTTTTGAGACAGAGTCTTGCTCTGTCATCCAGGCTGGAGTGCAATGGTGGGATCTCGGCTCACTGCAAGCTCCACCTCCCGGGTTCACGCCATTCTCCTGCCTCAGCCTCCCAAGTAGCTGGGACTACAGGCGGCCACCACCACACCTGGCTAATTTTTTGTATCTTTAGTAGAGATGGGGTTTCACCGTGTTAGCCAGGATGGTCTCGATCTCCTGACCTTGTGATCTGCCTGCCTCAGCCTCCCAAAGTGCTGGGATTACAGATGTGAGCCACCACGGTGCCTGGCCAGCAACTGACTTTTGACAATGACATTTCTAGGAGGTGGTGCCTCCACCATCATCTGAGAATCATTTGTTCTACGTATAGATTCCTGGTCCGAATTCAGAGGTTCTAGCAGTATAGGAACTTTACATTTCTTAGCAGAAAAATTAATTTAGGAAACCACAGGCTTAATGAACTTAATCCTTAAGATTTCTTGAGTTATTATGTGATATTAATCATTATTCTATTGGAGGAAGTTACCAGAAGTCCTTATAGCATTATGAAATCATTGTGACCTTTGTTTTTACTAAGGTTTTGATATAAAAAATAGCCATATGTTTAATGACATTCTTTGTTCTTTATTGCTTTAGAGTTCATGGCCATTACCTTCTCAATGTTCCTTCTATTAAGACCCTTGGGACAAATTTTTTCCAACACACAGGTTTAAAAAAAGTTTGTTTCTATTGATGAATTGTTGTGATTTCTTCTACTAGACAATGAGAATTGTGTAACATATCATATTACCCTTTGCGTAGGCTGCTAGGAAGCTCAGGGCAAAGCTTTGAGTTCAGTTGTGGTAGTGTTCATTAGTCAGAGTTTTCTGGATGTAATTTCTACCTTCCATCTTTATAAATTGGCATTTTTGTTTTATTTGATATCAGTATATGTGTAGTTTTATTGTTAGCCAGTTAAAATCACTAATTGAAGTGGAAGGAATAAGCAGATTTAATGAGAATGATTCGTTTTAAAAGCTATGCTTCTTAACTACTCTCCCATATGCTCTGGCAAAATAGTGTCTTCCTTGTTTTTTACATCTAAGGCACTGTTTTCATCCCTTTCAATCTGCATTAACTAACTGCTTCTGTGTATTTATTGGTCTAAGCATTATTTGGTTATTCCTGCATTGCATTTATTTCCCCCTGGTTCAGTATTTCCAAAACTTCCTTAATCATAGAATCCCTTGGAAGTGCTTGTTAAAAATACTCAATCTCAAGACACCCTCCCCTGTTCCAAAAATCTGATTTGGTAAGTAGATGACATGGTAGGTGATATGGTTTGGCTGTGTCCCCACCCAAATCTCACCTTTTATTGCCATGTGTTGTGGGAGGGACCCAATGGGCGGTGATTGAATCATGGGGGCAGGTCTTTCCTGTACTGTTCTGGTGATAGTGAGTAAGTCTCACAAGATCTGATGGTTTTAAAAACAGGAGTTTCCCTGCACAAGCTCTATTTGCCTGCTGCCATCCATGTAAGATGTGACTTTGCTCCTCCTTGCCTTCCGCCATGATTGTGATGCCTCCCCAGCTATGTGGAACTGTAAGTCCATTAAACCTCTTTTGTAAATTGCCCAGTCTCAGGTATGTCTTTCTCAGCAGTGTGAAAACAGACTAATACAGTAGGGTTGCATTATCATTTTAGTATGCTGTACTTGAGAAACCCTGAAGTGGGCATGATCTTACCCTTAAGGAGTTCATTACCTAATAATCTAGATCAGTAGATGGTAACATGCCTGGAAAACATCTTATGAAATAAACTTTTGAACCCCATCGTGGTTTTATTGAATCAGAATCCTTTGGAGTGGAATAAGAAATTTATATTTAAAAGAAAAATCTGAATTGCATCTGATTATCAGCTATATTTGAGAACCACATGTGAATATCAAGGGACTTTGGAAGAAAAGACTTATGAGACAATTTAATTAAATGATCTTTGGAAGGGCCAGTATCCTGCTAGCTAATATCGGGGAGGCTGTAAAATTCTAGAGCAATATTTTTTTCTAATTGTTGATCTGATGATGGCTAAGGTTGAGTTTTACCATATCACATCTCTCTTACCTTTCTCTTCCTCTGTGATTCCTCTAGTCTTTCCTTTCCCTGTTTCCCTTCATAACTCCCTCCCTCATTTTTCTCATTCATATCTGGAATATATATTACAGAATTTAAAGTTTATTATGTTATATTATTTATCTCAGAAAACACTGTTGAGATACAATTTTGATTAAATTCATGGCAGAGGTTCTCAAATCTAACCTTACGCTACAATTATTGGGTCACCTGTGATTTCTTCCAGCAGTGTTTTGTAGTTCTCCTTGTAGAGATCTTTCATCTCCTTGGTTAGATGTATTGCTAGGTACTTTATTTTTTTGTGGCTATTGTAAATGAGATTGCATTCTTTATTTGGCTCTCAGCTTGAAGGTTATTGGTGTATAGAAATGCTGCTGATTTTTGTACAATGATTTTGCTGGTGGGGCTGCAGAGAATAGGGAATGCTTGTATATTGCTGGTAGGAATGTAAATTAGTTCAGCTACTGTGGAAAGCAGTTTGGAGATTTCACAAAGAACTTAAAACAGAACTATCATTTGACCCAGCAATCTCATTACTGAGTATATATCCAATGCAAAATCAATCATTCTACCAAGAAGACAAGTGCAGTCATATGTTCACTGCAGTACTATTCACAATAACAGAGACATAGAGTCAACCTAGTTGTCCATTAGTGGTGGGTAAAGAAAAGGTGGTACATGTATACATGGAATACAATGCAGCCATAAAAAAGAATGAAATCCTGTCTTTTGCAGTAACATAGATGCAGTCAAAGGTCGTTATCCTAAGTAAATTTACACAGGAACAGAAAACCAAATACTGCATGTTCTCACTTGTAAGTGGGAGCTAAATGTTGGATATACATGGACATAAAGATGGGAGCAATAGATACTGGGGACTCCTAGATGTGGGAGAGGGAGGGACAAGGGTTGAAAATCTACCTATTGGGTATTATGCTTACCACCTGGGTGACAAGATCAATCGTACCCCAAACCTCAGCATCACACAATATACACATGTATCAAACTTGTACATGCACACCTTGAATCTAAAATAAATGTTGAAATTATATATAAAAAAGAATTACTTGAGGAGCTTTAAAAACCTCACCTTATGGTAATTAAGTCTGGGGTTGGGGTCCTGGTATGTGTATTTTTTCTGAAAGTTTTCCGGTTAATTTGAATGGTATTCAGGCTTGAGAATAACTAGTTTATTTTGTTTTACATTAATGCATTCAAGTTTTTGAACTTGAACTGAGGTCTTTTGCATTCTGCCTTTTTTGTTGTTGCTCTTCGTATCTTTTAATGCAAAAATTTTGTTATATTGGACAGCCTTTAATGAGACAGTAAACTGTTGCACTGAGGCCAAAGAGAAAACCATGTAATAAGACATTACTTTATGTCTTGTAATCAGAAAACTTGCCATCAGGCTCTGACATCATCTATGGGAAATACGGATGTTATCCCCACAAAACTAAGATTTTGGGTTTTCTGTTGTCATCCATTTTTTTCCTGTATAATTCTAAATATTTTGTAGTGAACTATGCATCTTCCTTAGAGACTGAAGTATTTAGTCCTTATAACTTCCAAGACATGCCATGGCATATCCTGTTGTTTTATTTTCCAAGTAAGGAAAAGCTTAGATTGTGAGTATTTTAACAAAATCTTTTTTAAACCCATAAATATTATTTGAATACCTGTAAATTCAAGGAAGCATAATAATGAGATGTTTGTCTCTGTATTAGTCTGTTTGCACGCTACTGATAAAGACGTACCTGACACTTGGTAATTATTTAAAAAAAGAGGTATAATGAACTCACAGTCCCAGCCCCACGTGGCTGGGGAGGCCTCACAATCATGATGGAAGACAAAAGGCACGTCTCACATGGCCACAAGCAAGAAAGAAGATAAGAGCCAAGCAAAAAGGGAAACCCCTCAGAAAACCATCAGATCTCATGAGACTTATTCACTACCACGAGAACACTATGGGGGAAGCCCCATTATTCAATTGACTCCCACTGGGTCCATCCCACAACATGTGGGAATTTTGGGAGCTACAATTCAAGAGGAGATTTGGATGGAGACACAGCCAAACCATATTAGTTTCCTTCAGAGAATTTATAGTTATTCATCAAACATTTAGGGAGTCTCTGTGCTAGATGTGTTGCTGGGCATTGGGAATGGGTATAGGAAATTCCTATGGGAATTCCCATAGGAAACTCACAATCACATGAATGAAAAAGATATACTAAGAGATATGACAAAGATATGTGCAGTCTAATTGGGGAAATAAAATCAATACTTATGAAACAAATATTAGGAAATTGTTATTAGATCATAACTGGAAAATAATTAGAGAATGATTAAGTGCTAAAATAGAGTGCTACTGTTTAAAGTGTAATAGGAGTTCAGAAAGTATAGTGTCCAATATGGGCTAGAGTAGTTGGGGTAAGCGTCATGGAGAAGGTGGTACTTTACTGTGTCCTGAAGGAAGGACAGACTTTGCTAGATGAGTGTGGAAGGGGAGGCCATTCCAGGCATAGGACTTAGCAGAGCATAGGTCCAATAAGGATATTGGACCTATCCAGTAAGGATATACATCATCTGTATGTGTAGCAGGGCAAGGTACATGCAGACACAGAAGAAATGCTTTCTTTTTCTTTTTTTTTTTTTTTTGAGACAGAGTCTTGCCCTGTCGCCCAGGCTAGAGTGCAGTGACATGATCTCAGCTCACCGCAAGCTCCACCTCCTGGCTTCACGCCATTCTCCCTCCTTAGCCTCCCAAGTAGCTGGGACTACAGGCGCCCACCATCACGCCCAGCTAATTTTGTTTTTGTATTTTTAGTAGAGACAGGGTTTCACCGTGTTAGCCAGGATGGTCTTGATCTCCTGACCTCGTGATCTACCCACCTCGGCCTCCCAAAGTGCTGGGATTACAGGTGTGAGCCACTGCGTCTGGCCAAGAAATAAGTTCTTATATTTTGGAGGGGTGTCATGAATCTTTTTGATGACTGAATGAAATCTATGCAGCCCTTTCTCCGGAGATAGGAGGCATGTATAAACATGTATACATATGTATACACATATATAAAGAGGCAAAGATTTTGTAACTAATTTTAGGGGTTTTATAGCTTCCTTAAAAGCAAACGGAGGAAATAAACTATATGTGTTTCTTTTTTTTTTTCAAAATGACTATAGGTTTATGAGCAAGGGAGTGAGATTATTATCTTGGTTTAGGGATGATTTCCTGGTTTGGGGAAACTTTCCTTGTTGTATCAGTGTAATTACAAGCATCAGAGCCAGGAAAGAACTGGAAATGGAGGAAATGAAGATGACCTAGACTGGGAAGGCAGTTATCAGGATGGAGATTAAAGCAATAAAAGAAAGATATTGTGCATTAATTAACTGACGATGAGTCTTTTGAATAGATGGAATGCAAGGAATAATTTTTTGTGTACATTTTAGTTTTTACATTTAATGTTCCAAATATTTTATGAAGTATTCTATGATATCAAAGGTTATGTAGTTAGCTATCTTAAGAAGCAGTAAAACTGTAGTAAACATTTTTAGAAGTGACCATTGTGAATGAAGAAAAAAGTAGTATTTTTCACCAGATTAATTTGAAGGATAAAATAGAGGAGGGTAAAAATGTATTCAGTGCTATCAAATTTCTCAAAATGGTTTGAATTTAGAAAGAAGGAAGGTTTTGTTGTTAGCATGAATTCAATAATGAGCCATTCAAAAAAAACCTACTTTTAAAGAAGTTTTTATTTACTCGTTCATTCATAGCTGAATTAGGTAACTTGGTTTTTTATAAAGAAGTATAACATAGGAAATCTGTGTGTAAGGGAACCATATGTTCAAGGAAGAGATGATGAGCTTGGATGTCCTTAAGGTTGAGGAAGACAGCTGTTAACCAGCAGAGGGAGTGTGTTAACTGGATTTTTGATAGTGTTAATATTTTTCGCACAAGTGACTGAGTGATAGTAAAAGCTTTACTCTGATAGGGTGAAAAATCAAAATTATAAGTGTGTCGTCTAACTTAGTAACTAGGATCAATTACTTTTTTTCAGGAGAATCTCTGCATCATGCTTTTATGAAATTAGATATGAGATTGAAATTGACAAACTAAAGAAAATATGGTAATAAATATTGTTTTATTCTTGTTTACTTTTGCAAAGTTCATAGCTTTTCTTGCTTTCTGCCAGAATGCAGGAAGGGATGTCTGATTTTCAAGAACTGATATGTGGCAATGACTATGTTCACATTTTTGACTAAAATATCCTTGGGTAACTTTTATTTTCTTTAAGAAAGGACTGGATTGTGTCAATCTGTCTTCCATTGAAGTTTTATATACTATACATTTACCTGAAGGGTATGGTTAACTTTACACAATACCTTTAGAATGAAAGAAAACTGATTTTAAGAAGGCTGTGCTCATTTTTCATTGCCTGCCAAAAATGAATGCATGAAATAACACAGCAAAAATAACAGTAGTTTAAGCAATCTATCAGTTGCTTTCAGATAAATACTTTTGACAGTTCTTCAGTCCTTCTGTTTCAGATATAAAGAAATCCCTGAAATAGCACAGACTTAACCAGTTTCTTAAAAAATAAGCCACAAAATGTAAAATATTGCTCTGTAATTAAATGAAGGTGAGATTTTCAAATAGGTGAAACTCAATGAATTAAATTTTTACATACATTTTAATTTTTCTCTCCTTGAAAAAGAAATTTCAAATCTGGTATGTATTGTTACTATAAGACCAGGTTTTCCCAAACCAACTGGTTAAAAGAATAAAGCTTAATTAAATTAATAATAATAACAAGTTTAATTAAAGATTAATAGTACACATCATTCCAGAAAGAAAATGAGGCAGCGTAGAAGTTTATCTAGAGAATAAATAGATGCAAAATAAGTGAAAAAATTAGGCTTAATGTGTTTGTGAGAGGAGAGATGGAAATATAAGGGTTAGGAAATGGAAGATGAAGCTAGGTTGAAACCACTGTTTTAAAAATCTAGGGACCTGGGTAAGATGGCTGGGTAGGCACTCCCATGAGACAGACCAAAATGTAGAGTAAATGGGCATACTCCAAACAGATCATCTGAGAGAACACACTGAGAGAAGGTGGAGAGATGACCCATATGCCGGGAGTGAAGGGGGAGGAAACTGGGAACCACACATGGGGTTGCCGAGCACTGGGACAAATTCCAGGCCCTGAACAGCTCCAAAGGAATGGGCGGCTCTGACCTGTGTAATCTCCCTGACCTGGAGAAAGCAGGGGCTCTTTCCCATGGGACTGGGATGAGTGTAATGTGCGTGCCAGCCCCTCCCAGAGTCCCTGCCTGAACATACAGACACACATCCATTGTGGTCTCTGCTACCCTGCTGGAATGCTTTTGCTAGCAGCCACTGCCATTGTGCTTTCAGCAGCGGTCCCCACTGCCCCACTGGAGCACATTTGCTGACAACCTCCCACTGGAACATGTTTGCCTGCAACCCCACCACCATCCATCTAAAGCATGTTTGCCTGTGGCACCCCGCCAGACTGCCTCCTGTCTGCTGCACTCCTGTTGTCCCTGCTGGAGCACTTATGCCCACAGCCCTTCCCGTTGTTCCCTATGAAGTGCTGTTGCCAGCAGTCTGGGAGTACCTTGGCCCTTCCAGCTCTGCTGGGGCTTGACCTTGGGGGACCAGAAGACAGAGCCATGGACCCAGTCCCAGCCACCTCGGATTAGAGCACACAGACCAGGAGTGGAGAGCTGAGCCTTGGTTGTCTCCAAGCATTGGAAAGGAAGCCATTCAACTATACCCAACTTGCACTACAGTTAAACCCTCAAGGTCAATAAAGATCATAAAAGCAAAAAGCCCACCCAAAGGGCAGCAATTCCAAAGGATAAAGGAACATCAGCATTCACAGATGAGAAGGAACCTTCAAAATACAATTAGCATTAACAACACGATAGACCAAGCTGAGGAAAGAATCTCAGAGCTTGAAGACCACTTCTCTGAAGCAACACAGGCAGACAAAAATAAAGAAAAAATAATTTCAAAAAATGAACAAAACCTCCAAGAAATATGGGATTATGTAAAGAGACCAAACCTATCACTCATTTGCATTTCTGAAAGAGAAGAAGAGAGAGTAACCAATTTGGAAAACATATTTGAAGATATAATTTACAAAATTTTTCCCAATGTCACTAGAGAGATTGACATGCAAATTCAAGAAATTCAGAGAACCCATGTGAGATACTATGTAGGATAACTATCCCCAAGATACATAGTCACCATTTTCCAAGGTCAATGCAAAAGAAAAAATCTTAAAGGCAGCTGAAAAAGAAGGGGCAGATTACTTACAAAGGGAACACCATGAGGCTAACAACAGATCTTTCAGCAGAAACCTTATGAGCCAGAAGAGATTGGGGGCCTACTTTCAACATCTTTAAATAGAAGACGTTCCAACTAAGAATTTCATATTCTGCCAAACTACAAATTAAGCTTCATAAGCGAGGAAGAGAGGAAATCCTTTTCAGAGAAGCAAATGCTAAGGAAATTTATTACAATGAGACCTACCTTACAAGAAGTCTTAAAAGGAGTGCTAAGCATGGAAATGAAAGAATGATAATTGCCACCACAAAAACACACTGAAGTGTATAGCTCATTGACACCATGAAGGAACTATACAATCAAGTCTACATAACAACTATCTAACAGCATGATAACAGGATCAAAATCTAATATCTCAATATTGATTCTGAAAGTAAATGGGCTAAGATATAGAGTGGCAAGTTGAATAAACAAGCAAGACCTGGTCTTCAAGAGACCCATCTCACAAGTAATGGCACCCCTAGACTCAAAGTAAAGGGATGGAGAAAGATTTATAGAGCAAACAGTTTGCAAAAAGGTACAGGGCTTGCTATACTTATGTCAGATAAAACCAACTTTAAGCCAACAATATCAAAAAGGAAAAAGAAGGGAATTATATAATGATAAAGGGCTCGATCCAACAAGAAGATTAACTATCCCAAATACATATACACACCGAACATCGAAGTGCTCAGATTCATAAAACAAGTTCTTATAGATTTATTAAGATATTTAGACAACCAGCCAGTAATAGTGGGGCACTTTAACATCCCATTGACAGTGTTAGACAGATCTTGAGGCACAAAAATAACAAAGACATTCTTGACTGAAACTCGACACGTGACTCATTGGACTTAATAACCAACTATAGAAAACTCCACCCAACAACAACAGAATATACATTCTTCTTATTTCCACACGGCACAAAGTCTAGTGTTAATCACATGCTTGGCCATGAAGCAAGTCTCAACAAATTCAAAAGAACTGAAATCACATTAACCACACTCTTAGACCACAGCACAATACAAACAGAAATCAATACCAAGGAGATCTATCAAACCCATACAATTACATGGAAGTTAAACAACCTGCTCCTAAATGACTTTTGGATAAAAAACAATAATGAGTCAGAAATAAAAATGTTCTTTGAAACTAAGGAAAACAGAGACACAATGTAACAGAATCTTTGGGACACAGGTAAAGTAGTGTTAAGAGGAAACTTTACAGCACTAAACACCTATATCAAGAAGTTAGTGACTGGGCACAGTGGCTCATGCCTGTAATCCCAGCACTT